>NC_000010.11:6676666-6828181 GCF_000001405.40 Homo sapiens
GGAAACCTACAGAATGGGAGACAATTTTTACAATCTACCCATCTGACAAATGGCTAATATCCAGAATCTACAAATAACTTAAACAAATTTACAAGAAAAAAAATCAAAGAACCCCATCAAAAAGTGGGCAAAGGATATGAACAGACACTTCTTAAAAGAAGACATTTATGCAGCCAACAGACACAAGAAAAAATGCTCATCATCACTGGCCATCAGAGAAATGCAAATCAAAACCACAATGAGATACCATCTCATACCAGTTAGAATGGCCATCATTAAAAATTCAGGAAACAACAGGTGCAGGAGAGGATGTGGAGAAATAGGAACACTTTTACACTGTTGGTGGGACTGTAAACTAGTTCAACCATTGTGGAGGACAGTGTGGCGATTCCTCAAGGATCTAGAACTAGAAATACCATTTGACAGCCATCTGATTACTGGGCATATACCCAAAGGATTATAAATCATGCTGCTATAAAAACACATACACACGTATGTTTATAGTGGCACTATTCACAATAGCAAAGACTTGGAACCAACCCAAATGTCCATCAATGATAGACTGGATTAAGAAAATGTGGCACATATACACCATGGAATACTATGCAGCCATAAAAAAGGATGAGTTCATGTCCTTTGTAGAGACATGGATGAAGCTAGAAACCATCATTCTGAGCAAACTATTGCAAGGACAGAAAACCAAACACCACATATTCTCACTCTTAGGTGGGAATTGAACAATGAGAACACTTGGACACAGGGTAGGGAACGTCACACATCGGGGCCTGTCGTGGGGTGGGGGAAATGGGGAGGGATAGCATTAGGAGATATATCTAATGTAAATGACGAGTTAATGGGTGCAGCACACCAACATGGCACATGTATACATATGTAACAAGCCTGCACCTTGCGCACACGTACCCTAGAACTTAAAGTGTAATAATAATAATAAAATTCTTTTATGACAATTTTAGACAAACAGTGGAGGTTGGAGAATTGTTTTTTTAAAAAGGCCCCTAAAGAAAATATAGCTAAATGTTGATAGTGATTGTTATAAAGAACATTTTTCTAATTTTTATAGTTCTACATTTTTAAACTTTTTTGAGCATGTGTTATTTTTGTCATGGAAAAAATGGACACTGTGATGGCCTTTTTATTCACTTCTCTTAGCCTGGTATATGTGGAGAAGAATTGGTCAGCTTATGCAATGTGTAGAAAAACTTTGGGTACTAACAAATAAAACTTTCCCAGGAAACAAGTTTTGAAAATGATTTAACTCTGAGGTTTTAAAAACACTTTAAACATTCCCTTTGCAAAAAAATTCATTGAAAACAAGCCGATGGTCTTAGGAAATATTCAGTTTAAACATTTACAGAACAAAAATTGGATCCTATTTTAAAATCATTCCTTTATAAATAAGTGTCTGAAATATTTTGGAATCCAGCAAATACATTCAAAAGCATGTTTGATTAGTTGGCTTGGGAAAGGAAGAAATTGGGCCTGTAAAACAAACCTTGCTTTAGAAATCCATGAAGTTGTCCCTCCCTACATCAAATTTCTAAAAGCAAGATGCCTACCACGAAATATGTATGGTTTTCAATTTGAGGCTGAAGTTATATAGAACAATGCTGCAAGTAGGCCACCCTGACTTCAAGGTCAGCGAAATTAACATCCAGATTGCACCGTCAAAATTCGTCATCAGCGATCATCATGCGCCCCCTTCTGGCTCCATTACCACACTCTCATTTGTTCCCGTTGCGTTGAAATGAAGGGAAAACAGGCTTTTGGACCTGGGAAAATCTTCCTTAGTTTCTTTATCTGCCCACATTCTCCTTTGTTCCTGTTGCATGGAAATGAAGGGAAAACAAGCTTCTGGACCTGGGAAAATCTTCCTTAGTTTCTTTATCTGCACAATGAGGAGTTCAGATCAAATCTTTCCTAACACCCCTGCCATATACAAAATTCTGAGCTTATTATATTGCAACATAGAATTTTGGAATTGCTCATAGACACAAATGCCTAAGGAACTTTCAGCAAAACTCTGAAACAGAAAAAGTGTTTGAAATTATGTAGTTTTTATCTTCGGCATTTTGAATGTGCATAATCATAATAAGAATTAGTCACAATTGTTCTGTTTCTTCAACTCTGTTCTGCACAGATAGGGGATCACGCTCTTTCAGATTTCAGAGGCAACTTTACAATTATCCTCTCTTTCATCCTTACATTTCTTTATATTTTATTTTTCCACATTTTATACTCTTTATCTTATTTATTTTCCTTTTCATTCTTTGTTTTCTTGTTTTCTTTCTTTTCTTGACTTTTTTTTTGTCTTTTCTTCATTCCTACCTTAGGTTTTATGAAATTAGTTGTCCCTTGGGTATAATAAACACCATAAAAGTACTGGCCCTCTTGAGTTAAAAGAGAAGATATTATTTTTCACAGCCTGAAATTATAACCACTTAAATGTTTGGCAAATTGGCACCATCTCCTGGCCACTTAAAGTGCCATCTGAACTATGTAGGTCCTACAATGCTTTATTTCCTTGCCAGTCATCTGAGTGTTCATTTTGCTCTATTTACCCTAAAAACTCCTCCCATAAATAGATCTGACATTTTGTGAGCATCTCATTCTGCTTAAGGCCTGATATTTACACTATGAAAGTGTGGCTTGGAGAAAAGCTTTCTGGATTTTCCGCTTGTTTTATTTATATAATCAAATCAAGACACCATAAGGAAAAGTCACATGGCTAGTCCTGAATTTAGGAAGCATATGACCCTTCTCTGTTCCCTCTGCGTCCACACATCTAGAGAATTATTGGGCCATTAAGACGGGTTTACACTTCTGGAATATCCACCTGTTTAGAGAGTCAGAAATGTGGGCATAGCTGAGGGGAAGGGATGGTCTAAATGCCTTCTAGGTGATGGGGGAAAACAACTTGAGCAAAAACAAAAACAACTGAGCTCTCTGAAAAGTTCAATAGCTAATTCTCTCAGTCTCGTGGGTCCTGGCATCAAAATGAAACAAAAGAAATTAGAAAAATTATTGGGAAATGAAAACTTGAGGACCTTATTATCTTAGCTCCACAGAAAATACAGGGTAGTGGTATATAGGTTAATTTCATCAAGAAAAGATAGCAAGATTTCTTGAAATTCAGAAAAAAGCTCATAGTCTTCTAGAATAGTCTAGAATTCACATCACACATACCTCTTCTTCTACACAAGCTTCATTACTGAAAAGAATTGCTAAGCTAGATATTCTTAGACTATTTCTCAGAAATACACTTGATAGAAGAAGCGATAGATCGATAACTGTGTGTGTGTGTGTGTGTGTGTGGAGAGAGAGAGAAATAGTGAAAGTTTAATGACAAATACTTTCATCTGGATCTTTCTTTTAAAGAACACATTTTTACCTTTAACCTGCCAAGAAAATGTTCTAACTCCTAGGGGCTCAATGGTTACTTTTGTTTACCAATGTCAAATTCGACATGTGCTTCTTATGATTTATATCTAAAGTCTAGTGCCATGATCACATTGAGAAAGAAAAAAATACCTTTGAAATAACCAGTTTAAGATGTCCCATGCCGCCAGACCCCCCCACTGTGAAACTCTCCATTGCTTCAAAAAGCTGAAGTTTCTGGTAGAAAAGACATATACTCTTTTCTGGAGAAGTAGCCACTTACATTTTATCCATGAATACAAAACATTTTTTTCATAGTTGATATTGTAGATATTACATAAATTTAATGGGCCCTGAAACTACTGGAAAATCTTTAAGTCATGTTGACTGCTTGGGTGATTTTGGATTCCTTGGCTTGCAAATCTCAGGAACTGTTTTAACAGAGAACAGTAGTGGCTTGTTTTGTGCTAAACCACCCCGACAGCAATTTAGTTGTCATTCAGCTACTAAAGCTTTACTTTATGGCTTTGAAAAACCTGGCTTTCCCTGTTCCATTATCTGCTGAGATAAAATGATATTGGAAGGTTATGACCGATGACAGAATGGCTTCTTTTCCCATCTTTTCTAGCCTCCCCATACGTTGGTCAACACGTGCCTTTTCTCGGCACTGAATGTTTTTAGAATGCTTTGCTTGCCTGCAGGCATTTTATGCTTACGAATTTCGCATCATTTCTTAACCTTCTCTGCATCTGCTTTCAGTCTCCAAAGGAGGCTAGAACGCTGGGTCCTCTGAGTCTACAGCTTCATTGCAGTAAAGAGGATGAGGGTGGGAGGGGGAGAGTACCTCTGGGGGGATTCTAATGCTCACATCCAATCTTGAATTGAGAGCAGTTGCCTGGGAAACAAAACCTCAAAAAATCTCATTTTCACATGCATCTTCAAATCTTCAAATGGCAGGACGTACTTCTGTGTTCAAAGGAAGTCCTCCAAGTCTAAGCGTCCAGCAAGTCGAGATTTATTATCTGCCCAACTCATCTCAGGATTCTATGGATATTTTCTATCACACTGGTAATCAAATAAGAATAACATACATGTGTTAAAAACAGACACAAATAAAAAAGGTTAAACTGGGTTTCTCTGGTTGTGTGAGTTGAGAGGCACCAGGGAATAGCAGAAAGGATTCTGCAATGCAGTCAGAAGACTCATTTTGCAAACATACCTCTAATTGGTAACTTAAATGTAAATTCGCGGTGAGTGCTTGGGCTGTGTGTCACAAATAAGACTCCCAGTCCCTGTTTCTTCATTGGTAAAGAGAAGTTTGGCATGGTCTCGAGATACTCCACTCCCGACCCCACCTCCTAGATCTAATAATTATCTGATCCTTTGGGAGTACCTAAAGGCTGTTGGCATCTTTCTACAAACATTTATTGGATAGTCATGATGTTGCCAATCTAGGGGAACTTCTTTCTATCACCTTAGGTTCTGTAACTGGAGCTTGCAAATCAAACTGATAAAATACAGAGTAACAGGAAAAAACATTTTATTTCAAATGCATGTGGCAGCTTTGCAGAAAAGAAGTGAAATCCCAAAGAAATGGTTAAGTTTGAGAGCTTATATACTATTTTAACAAAGGGTGATACATTGTGAAGAAGTGACAAAAGAAAAGGGGTTTCTAGGTGTGATAAATTGTGGAAAAAATTATATATATATAAAATATATATTATATATAGACAAGGGTTATTTAGTAAGTTTTTTTTTTTAATTCAAACGCAAGTCTCTAGTGATAAGCGTTATGTTGCATGATTAAGAGTCATTCTCCTCTTCCTGGTACAGGAGAGGGAGACGCCTTTACAAATAAAAATGTATTCCCTGTTTTTCAGGCAGAAAGAGGAAGGCCAGAGAATTCTTCCTGTATCTGCTGTTTCTCTAGTGCCTTCAGCTCAAATAATTTTTATGTCAAAGTGGCATATTTAAGGGTGGCATATTCTGATCTTTTTTATTAGCATAGTTCTTTTTTTTTTTCTTTTTCTGGCCCTTTTGTGTTTAGGCTAACTCATTGGTTCATTATTTGATTCATCATGGGCATTAACTACAAAAGAAATTTTGGGGGTAAAACATTAAAGAAAGGTATAATTTTTCAGAGATTATACAAGTTCAAGTGTATTTTTGGGATTTTTTTTCCATCAGAAATACATTCAACAGCAATGTTGATTATGCCACAGAGAATTGTCCTAATGAGTGTGTGTGTCTGCCACCCAAAACCAATGTTTGGAATGGAAATTATGCTTTCCTTCTAAAGGGCAGTATTATATATATATATTTCTTTCTTCAAAAATGTAATCTAGTAACAAGAAAGCTTCATTCTCAGTCTATGGGAGGGAAGTGCAATGAACTGGCTGGTTCCATTGTTACCATGCAACAATTTATTCTGAGCTATATGAACAAAAGACATTCTTCTCAGGGATGGCCTTATTAATCAGTTTATTATTCAATGGGTCAGAATTTGCATTTTGGTGAGTAGTATCGTTTTTATCTCTTCATGTTGCCAAAGTTGTAGTCACATTACAAGAGAGCTCTAAATTAACAGCACAGATATGCAGTTTCTTCAAGAGTAGTTAACTTTATTTCAAATGAATTCTGCTTCCTCTGCCTGGCATTTCTTTACCCGTTATCTCCAAATGTCCAAATTCAACCTATCACTTAAGACCTATTTCAAATGCTGTCTGCCCATCACCTCCTTTGAAGCTTCTCTTCCCTCTTTAAACTGCCATAGGGACAATTTTTTCTATATCGGGACAATTTTTTCTATATCTCTCCTACAGAACATATCACTTTCTACCATGCGTGCCGTTACTTAGTTGTGTGACTTACGTTGTCTACTAAAGTGAAAGCTTCTGAAGATACCATCACAGAGACCAGTACAGGGCCTCGCCCAACATGGTCTCAGTAAATATCTCAAGAATAAATAAAGAGTGGGAAGATGACACAGTGAGTTGACAATCCTTGGATAGCTTAGGCACCCTGTTGATTATGTTTGAAAACTTTTTCTTCACTTATTTTCAATTGGCAGATGCTCACGGGACATGATTTACTGTTAACAACAACTCAAGTAAAATTTAAAATGCAGCACGGTAAATCTTAGGTAACACAACAAATGGTAAAACCAAATGCATAATTTAGTCCAATGTGAGATATAAATAGTTTAGAGGCCATACTCCCATTTTGAACTATTTGTTTGAGTGATCTCTCTATTAGCATGGGGGATAGAAGTCAACCCTTTGTTTATAATATGCAGGTGTGTTGTGGACGGGTAACTGCTATGGAATGAATTGTGTCCTCTCCAAAAATTCATATGTTGAAGCCCCAATTCCTAATATGACTGTATTTGGAGATACAGTCTTCAGAAGGTACCTAAGGTTAAATTAAGTCAGAAGGATAGGGCCCTAACTTGGTAGAATTGTGTCCTTATAAACAGAGCTCTTCCATGCAGGGACACAGTGAGAACACAGCCATCTATAAGCCAGGAATGGAGTCTTCGCCAGAGACCAAATCAGCCGGCACCTTGTTCTTGGACTTTCCAGCCTCTGGAACTGTCAGAAAATATATTCTGTTATGTAAGCTGCCAAATCTGTTGTGTTTTGTTGTGGCAGCCAGAGCTAAGACGGGACTTAAACAGATGAAACCTTTTCACTGGGAGCCAGGTGCAATGGTGTGCACCTGTAATCCCAGTGACTCAGAAGGCTGAGGCAGGAGAATTGAGTGACGACTGGAGTTTGAGGCTGCAGTGAGCTATGATCACGCTACTGCACTCCAGCTTGTGTGACAGAATGAGACTCTGTCTTTTTAAAAAACAAAACAGCAACAAAAAACTTTTCACGTGACTGCTTGCATTTGCTTGGTGAAATGTTTTTGACTGTGAACACCAATAGTATAAACAGGGATTACTTCACATGGAGCCTTTGTAGAGGGAACTCCAGGAGAAAGAAGTCTATGGAAGGGCAGCTGATTATCTGGGCATTTTCACAAATAAACTCTTGAGTTCCCAAAAAATAACCACAGGGACCATTGCTGACATTCAGGGAAGTAAAGTCTTTTCATGGATGTGAAGAGAAAGGATCAATTTCATTATCATCTTACAGTTGCCAAGAGAAATAAGTCATTCAGATGTCATGGTATGTTATAGAGGAAATACTGACAAATGTAAACTCTTAGATCATGGCAATATAAAACGAAATCTGACTGGACACAGTGGCTCATGCTTGTAATCCTAGCACTTTGGGAGGCTGAGGCGGGCAGACTGCCTGAGGTCAGGAGTTTGAGACCAGCCTGGGCAACATGGTGAAATCCCGTCTCTACTAAACAAACAAACAAACAAACAAACAAAAAACTATTAAAAGAATAAATACTGCTAAGCACATTAATAGGGAAAAATATGGAGAACTAATGTATTCCATAGAAAGATGTTTACTCTGTATTTAAATAGAGTGACAATTCATTTTGTATGACACCCCAAGTTTTATTGCTTTTTCAGTCAAAGAGAGTAACCAAAATGTTGACCTTTACAAGTTCCCTACACATTAGGAAAACTTTTCTTGTAAGAAAGATTCTGGCCCTGAGTAGTTGAAATTGCAGAAAATCTGCAAACATGCTGGTCCTGATGTTGGAGACTTCAGTAATTAAAGAGAGGATGTTCTCAAGCCCAGCGCCCTTTCTGCTGCAGAACAGATGGGTCAACACAATATTCTCTTCTTACCAGTATGAAATTATCCAGCTGCCAATTCTACCTGTGGATAGGCTTCAGATTTCCAATATGTTAATATTCTTTTCTTAAAAATAATAACTACTACTCTTCCTGATCTACTTTTTAAGTTTTTTTTTAAAATTTTCAATTTCTATTTTTATTTTTTTTTGAGACAGAGTCTCACTCCGTCATCCAGGCTGGAGTGCAGTGGAATGATCCCGGCTCACTGCAACCTCTGACTCCTGGGCTCAAGCAATTCTCCCACCTCAGCCTCCCCAGTAGCTGGGACTACAGGTGTGTGCCATCATGCTTGGCTAATTTTTGTATTTTTAGTAGAGATGGGATTTCGCCATGTTGGTCTTGAACTCCTGACCTCAAATTATCCACCTGCCTTGGCCTCCCAGAGTGCTGGGATTACATGCATGAGCCACCCCACCTGGCCTAAGATTTTTATTAAATGAATGAATCAATTTTTTTAAAGAGGTGAGATCTCTCTCCCTATGTTGTCCATGCAAGACTCGAGCTCCCAGCCTTAAGTGATCTTCCCACCTCAGCCTCCTGAATAGCTGGGACTATGAGCATGCACCATCATGCCTGGCTAATGTGTTACTATGTTTAGTTGTTAACATGTACAATAAGATTTTCTTCATGGTGGGTTCCAAAACTCTACAAGCAAGTCCTATCTCCTCAAGGGTTGATCTTCTAGTTCCAGACTATTTTCCTATTTTAAAAGAAAGGCCTATGCCATGTGTAGGTTTTAGCCCATGATCTTCGAAGTGTCCAAGGCTAGAACTAAGAGGCTCTAGGAGATTCAATCATCATTTGGAAATGTGAGTAAGACAAATAAAACCAAAGTAAAATTGTCACATCTGGTCTTGAGACATGCTCCTTCTATTTTTTTGCAAAGCCTAAAAAGGTAAACTTCTTTTTAAAAGTACTGTATGAAGACATTTATGTAAACAACTTTATTTCTTCAGAAACAATTCTTTTTGCTTGCTGTCTCTTGGGCTTGAGATGTATGGTAGCCCCTTTCACTCAGGCAATAGATTTTATGCCCTGAGGAATGTGACTTGGATGTTGTTGTGTATTCAATAGAATAAATTTGAACCATTGATACTAAACGGTATAAAACTGTCACTGGATTCGATGGCAATCCCTGAGACAGGGCATCAGCAACAATAACTTTTTGTTTAAATTAAAATTTAAAAATTTTCAATTTTTTAAAATAATGTTTTTAAAATTTCAAAGTATCATTAAAGACTTTTTCATTATCTTTCTTCCATTGTAGTTTTCCTTCTAAAAGAAGTTACTGTGACAACCCAAATACATTTAGTAGACAATATTATTTAAGCATCTCCTTTTTTTTTTTTTGAGACGGAGTCTTGCTCTGTCGCCCAGGCTGGAGTGCAGTGGCATGATCTCGGCTCACTGCAAGCTCTGCCTCCTGGGTTCACGCCATTCTCCTGCCTCAGCCTCCCGAGTAGCTGGGACTGCAGGGGCCCACCACCACTCCCGGCTAATTTTTTTTGTATTTTTAGTAGAGACGGTGTTTCACCGTGTTAGCCAGGCTGGTCTCAATCTCCTGACCTCGTGATCTGCCTGCCTCGGCCTCCCAAAGTGCTGGGATTACAGGCGTGAGCCACCGCACCCGGTCGTCTACTTTTTTTTTTTTTTTAAAGCAATCTGTAATCTGTATTTTCATAAGAATTATGTAATTTAAATCTTAGTAAAGTTCTAAGAAGTAGACGTGGAAGATGTTTTTAGCCCTATTTTATTGATGATCATACTTGAGCTTTAGTTAATTTCCCCTAGTTAAACTGCTACTTATGGCTGAAGCCAGGACTTTAGCCTAAATGCTCTGGCTTTAAATGTTCCTTCTACACAATTTGGTAGGTTGCTATAATACAGTGGTTAAGGATGTGGCTGTGGGGATGAACTACCTGGTTGTGGATCTTGATGCTACCTCCCACTAGCCATATGGTCTAAGAGGTTGTTGTGCTGAATATTTCTGAGCCTCAGCCTTCTCTTGAGTAAAATATCATCAGCTATTACACCTATTGTAAAGCTGGCTCACTGTGCACACTATTCCAACACTGCAGCATTCTGCATCTGGGGCTGCAGTTTCTACCACTTGCACAAGACAGGTGAGAGCGAGCCCCCACACAACAAGTTAAGCAAAGTGGCTTTATGACTCATGGATAGGCAGCAAGGGACAGGAGAAAGCTAGGGGTCACGGTGTACCAGTCCCCCAAGGCTCAGGAAACTGTCAGGGCAGATGCAGTCTCACATTGCTTACTGCAGCCGATGGACTGCAAAAGCTCTCCACCCTGGGTTTTATACTCCAGGGAAAACTTGGCTTCCTGGGCTAAAGCGTTGTAGGAAGGATAGAAACAGAACCCAGGCTGTTTTGGCCAGTGCCTCCTCATCTCAGGATGTTGCATCCCCAGCACATTCTAAGGTTATTCTGAGAACTACCAGTGACAAAGAGGGAAGAGCTGGGTCACCAAGGCCATCCAGGGACCTGCTCTGCATCTTTCTCTTGAGAAAATTGTGAGGATCAAGTAACTGACTATGTTACTTGATCATATTTGAGGTGAACCCAGTGGGGTAAAACCGTAAACCCAACCCTCTTCTTCCTCCCACTGTACCTTCCAATCCAAGTTTGGGTCAGTTCTTGTTCTGTCCCGGCAGGCAGGTCTTATAGTTTCTGGTCCATTTTAGTTGCAAGAACCTCGTAGTTCAGTAGTTTAAACACCCAGTGCAGTGTAATGATGCAGTTAGAGCTCTTGTTCCATTTAGAGCTTCTCCTTCTGTTAGTATCACTTAGACCTGGAAGCCTGAGGTAGAGTTGGGGAGCGGTGTCTGCTGCTTCCTTAGCCCCTCCCTGCCCCACTCCTACTCTCATTCTTGGTGCCTTCGGGGCAGGTAGGGGACAGGGGACGAGGAGAGTAAGTGGCTGGAATTGTCTTAATCTAGCAGTGACACTCTCTGGCTCTGCAGATGTCCATGCAGATGCTGTCCCATGGGGCTCTTTGGAGGGTTGTGAGATGCCCAATAAGCTGGGTCCACCCCTACAGCAGCTCCTGCACATGCCAGGGAGCCTCTTCGATGCTCCCCTCCTTCCTTGGGCCTCTGAAGATCCATCCTTTTCTGCCTCCCTTTTTTCACAGGCAGTCTTCCCAGACAAAGTCCAGTGCAAAGAGACCCACTGGCTCATGGCCACTCAAGCTTCATGTCACCCCATGTGGCTGGCCAGGAGCAGGTCTCTCCAATGCAGTTCCGCATCTTTTTGTACTTTGCGGCCTTGGACCTCAGCGCAGGATATCACCCTTACATCTCCCAGGCTTGCTTCACATACCCATTGCCTGTGCCACCCAAGCTTCAGAGGATACAGATAAATGTGTCCCCTTGAAACCCCTCTCAGGTGTTTAAGGTGGGCAAGATACAGCCCCTGAGCAATGGTCTCAGCATGCCAGCAGTGCTCTCCAAGGTCTGTCCTCCCAACTCTTTCTGCAGCCTCCATCTGGTTTATTACACACTCTGGAAGACAGCAGATCAGCGAACCATTACAAAACTTGCTCTCAGACACCACCTTCCAAGTCCTGAATAGATGGTCTGGACTTTGAAATGGGGGATACTTGGTACTTCCCCACCGCCAAACGTCCTTTTTCATATACCGTGTGTCATGTCTAAAGCACATATAAACTGTGTCTGGCACATAAGTGCTCAGTTAATATTTGCCATGATTATTTCCCAAGGCCTGTTGGTATCTCTTTGGACACTCTGTCTAAATTTTATTCTGCCTCAGTTTGTCAGGGTTCTGGACAAATTGTCCACAGGGAGGACTCAGGCCTCGGCTCAGATTGGGCAAGAACAAACCACACCCCTGCCATCAGCCAAGCTCCTTGCCTACCCTGAGTCCATAGCTGCCCTTTCCAGAGGAGACCTGAGGGTGCACCCACGTAAAGGGGGCAATTTCAATGCACAAAAGAAATACTACTATAGCTGTGAAAAGGTACTGCTAGGAAGGGCATAAAAGGGCCCCTGGCTGAATGCCAAGTATAAAACAGAAACAGAGTCCTCAAGGACAAGTTGTCAGGAGCCACAAGAAGGGGGTCCTTCCAGAAGCTGTGGGAATCCAGGGCAGCGGGAAAAAGCCTTACAGGGTCAGGGGTAAGAGCTAGTGGGGAACCTTCATCAGCCTGGAGCAGGTCCATAAAGCTGGAATAAAAAGTGAGAAAAGAAATACCTTACAGGTGAGGCTTGCACCTGAGGTTGCATGTCTGCAGGCTGATCATATAAAAGATTTATTTCTTCATGTTGTACCTTTGAAGATGATCAGATTATGTTTGCTAACCATCGTGAGCTTCTTGGATGAAAAACGCAAGATGAACCTTGGATAAGTATCCACACACACAGCAATCAGCCAGCAGGTAGGATTCGGTCTCTGTGCTGAGTCATTTCCGTATTACATTGAAATAAGTAATACAGTTCTCTTGGCAGTATTTTTGTTTTTAAAGTAAGTTGGGATGAAAGCTGGCGCCTAGGCTATTTATCCTCATCTGAAATGTGTGCAAAACAACACTGAGAAAATACTCTTTGGTGTAGACAGGAGGAGTCCTTAATAAAGTATTTATTTGCACCTGATTTCTCCTTGTTTTTACTGGGTTCATTTAATTTGATAGATCATCTACGCCTCAGTATAATGCCATGGAAATCTAATGAAGATGCATAGTGCTGAGTGCATTTTCTGTACCGATTCAGCCACTGTGGTTGGGATAACCATTGAGTTTGTCTTAGTCGGCTGAGACTGGCAGAACAAGACACACAGACCAGGCAGCTCCAACAGCAGACATTTATTTCTTGCCGTTCTGGAAGCTGGAAGTCCAAGATCAAGGTGCCAGAGCTGGTTTCTCCTGAGGGTTCTTTCTGTGGCTTGCAGAAGGCCGTCTTCTCGCTCTGGCCTCCCACAGCCTTCCTCTGTGTATGCACATGCCAGGCGTCTCTTCCCCTCCTGATAAGGACACCTGTCCTATTGGATTAGGGCCTACCCTTAGGCTCTCATTTAATCTTAATTATCTTGTTAAAAGCCCTGTCTTCAAATACAGTTACATTGGGATTTAGGGCTTCAACATGTGAATCTTCAGGGGACTCCATTCTTTGCAGGGCTGTTCACAAACGTTCCATTTCTTCTCCTGGGCATTTGGCAAGATTGCACCATCCCTGCTCTTTTTGGACTTGGTTGTGGATGACTTACTTTGTTCAATGTATGTGATGAAGAGACATGAAACTGACTAGGAAGAAGCTTTAAAATCCAGGGCACGAATCCCATTGATAATGGTTTGGCTCTGTGTCCTCACCCAAATCTCATCTCAAATTGTAATTCCAAGGTGTGGAGGGAGGGAGGTGATTGGATCGTGGGACCACTTTCCCCCCATGCTGTTCTCGTGATAGTGAGTGACTTCTCACAAGATCTGATGGTTTTATAAGGGGCTCTTCCACCTTCGTTTCCTCCTCTCTCTCACCTGCTGCCATGTGAGAGATGCCTGCATCCCCTTCTGTCATGACTGTAAGTTTCCTGATGTCTTCCCAGCCATGCGGAACTGTGAGTCAATTAAACCTCTTTCATTTATAAATTACCAACTCTTGGGTATTTCTTTATAGCAGTGTGAGAACGGACTAATACACCCGCATTCTCTTCCCCTGAAAACAGTAGTACTAGGCCGGGTGCGGTGGCTCATGCCTGTAATCCCAGCACTTTGGGAGGGCGAGGTGGGTGGATCACCTGAGGTCAGGAATTTGAGACCAGCCTGGCCAACATGGTGAAATCCTGTCTCTACTAAAAATACAAAAATTAGCCAGGCATGGTGGCGCATGCCTGTAATCCCAGCTACTCGGGGGAGCTGAGGCAGGAGAATCGCTTGAACCTTGGAGGCAGAGCTTGCAGTGAGCCAAGATCGCGCTACTGCACTCTGACTGGGCTGGGCTGCAGAGTGAGACTCTGTCTCGAAATTAAAACAAACAAACAAACAAACAAACAAACAAACAAAAAAAACAGTAGTTCTGGAGGTACACATAAATAAGATGAAATCTTCGGTGGAGCACTGCTGGCTGGTGCTGACCGTTTAATGTGAATGCAACATTTTAAATATGTATACATATATATGTACATATATACATATATGTATAGCTGTGTCTCTGCGTATATATGTGTGTATACATATATATGTCTACACAAACACTTTTTTTTTTTTTGAGATGGAGTCTCACTCTGTCGCCCAGGCTGGAGTGCAGTGGCACAATCTTGGCTCACTGCAACCTCCACCTCCCAGGTTCAAGTGATTTTCCCACCTGAGCCTCCTGAATAGTTGGGATTACAGGCATGCACCACCACACCCCGCTACTTTTTGTAGTTTTAGTAATACATGGTCAGGCTGGTCTTGAACTCCTGACCTCGTGATCCGCCTGCCTCGGCCTCCCAAAGTGCTGGGATTACAGGTGTGAGCCACTGCGCCCGGCCTACACACACACTTTTAAGAATGTTTAGCCATTGATATTTTGCGGTTGCTTTTTGCTTGTGCATAACCTAGCCCATCCTGACTTGCACAATGGTCAAGCATTCATTTGCTGTGACACGTGGATTGATAAAACCCAGCATTCACCTTTACATTCACCCTTCCTCCTATGTCAAAATATAGTATACTATAGTAGTTATTTTGGCAAATAATTTTCTTGTGTTCCTTTTTAAGAGTGAGTCTGTTGATATCTACAAAATATGTTATTTAACCTGGCAATTCTCTAATACCAACTTTTCTCCTGGGCTGGACACCAGCCTTTCCAAATGGCTGATTGAACTCTTCCCATGAATGAGCTGCCAGCGCCGTAAGTCCAACAAGCTTGAGAACATACTTACTCTTCCCTTCGACCCCAGGACTTTCTCCTCATTGCCATTTTTCTAATGATCCTGCTTGCAGACTGCAGAGAAATTTTAGGTGTGTGTTGAGGGGAGGTATGTATAGTATGCCTTTTAAATCTCTCCACTTAAAAAAATCATTTTGGAAAATTTCAAACATTTACAAAAGTCAACAGAATTTTATAATAAATCTCCTTGTACCCATCATCCGGCAATTAATGATCAAATCATAACCAGTCTTGTGGCTTTTTTTCCTATATCTACCCCCCTTAGATCATTTTAAAGCTATAAATGCTTCAGTATTTATCTCTAAAAGATAAGCATTATTTTTTTGGCAAGATATAGCCACAACTCCATCATTCCTCTGAAAAGGATTAACAGCAGACAATATTTCCAGGCAGTATTCCCCTTTCCCTAGTTGCCAATTGTCTTGATTTTTTTTTTTTTTTACTGTAGTTGTCATTTGTATGAATCAACTTGAAATATGGTTCATACATTTCAATTACTCGTTATGTTTCTTCAGCCTCCTTTGGTCTATAGATGCTCTCTCCCTAGTCTCTCACTCTCTTTCTCCTCTTACCCTTACAATTAATTTGCTGAAGAAGCCAGTGTGCTTGTCCTGTAGGGTTTTCCACAGTCAGGATTTTATTGATTGCATTTCTATGAAAGTTTGTTTAGCATATTCTGTGCTCCCCTACATTTACTATAAATTGATAGTTTGACATAGAGGCATGATATGCATTATTTGACAAATTACTGCATGATGACATATCCTTCCGTCAGGAGGCCCGTGACATGGGGCTGTGTTTTCCTGTGATATTAGCAACCGATGATGATTATTGTCCAGGTCAGTGGTTCTCAATCTTGAGCATGCTCCAGGAACACCGGAGGGCTTGATAAGACACAGATTGTTGAGCCCTAACCTGAGTTTCTGATTCAATAGGTCTGAATGAGGCTCAAGAATGTACATTTTTAACAAACTTTCAGGTGATGCTGATGCTGCTGGTTCAGGGACCAGACTTTGAGAACCACTAGCCTGGATCTATGATTTTATTAGGGGTTGCAAAACAGTGATGCTGTATTCTACCCTTCCTTCTTAAGTCATTGGCTGGAAAGCTTCTATAGGGAGAAATCTTCCAAATCCTCTGTTTGGTAGCCTTGAGGTCCAGTTTGTAGAAGAAGGGCCACCTCATGTTTGATTCTTTTCATTTATCCATTTTCAAAATAACGAGTTGGCTAATCAATATCCTCCACAGGTAGCCAGAGAAGTTTGTGTGTGTGTGTGTGTGCGTGTATGTGTGTGCACACGTGTATGTATGTGTGTGCGTGTGTGTGCACATATGTGTATGTGTGAGTGTGTGTGCGCACATATGTGTATGTGTGTGCACGTGTGTGTGTGTGTGTTTCTGCATGCCCCACTCCATTGCAGTTATTTTTAATGATGTTAAAGTTGTTCCGTCTTTAGCCACAGGGAGTCTGGAGACATTTTTGAACCCACTTCTTCTTTGCCAGACACCTGGTCATTGGTTAGATGGCACATTCTTGGGTACCACTCTCATGTCTCTTGTCCACCATCCTCTCTACTTCAATTCATTTTACCTGTTAGTAGGTGTCATTAATATTTTTTGGTGATTTTCCCATCATGTCCTTACCTGCTCAATAAATTCTCGGTGACTCCCCAGATTAAATATAACCCTTTTCATTGCCATTTGATATGGTTTGGACCTGTGTCCCTACCAAAATCTCATGTTCAATTTTAATCCTAATGTTGGAGGTGGAGTCTAATGGGAGGCGATTGGATCATGGAGAAAAGTTTCTCATGAATGTTTTAACACCATCCCCATGGTGTTGTTCTCGTGATCGTGAGTGAGTTCTGGCAAGATCTGGTTGTTAAAAGTGTGTAACACCTCCCCCCTCCTCCTGCGCCTGCCATGTGAAACATTTCACTCCCCCTTGGTCTTCTGCTATGATTGGAAGCTTCCTGAGGTCTCCCCAGAAGAAGTCGCTATGCTTCTTGCACAGCTTGCAGAACTGTGAGCCAATTAAACCTCTTTTCTTTATAAATTACCCATTCTTTATAGCAGTGCGAGAACAGACTGATACCCATTCCAAACCTCCCTTTGTGTACCAACCTGCCACCTGCCTTCTAGCTTTATTTCTGACCCTCTTCCTCCCACTCTGAAGTAACACAGTGAAGTTACACTTCTGTCTTTGTTTATTCTATTCTCCTTACATCAGATACCCTTGGCTGATGCTATCCTCTCTCCATCAATACTTTATTTATTCTATGGTTCATCATAAACACCTCTCCCATCTGAGTCTCTTCCTGAGCTCTTCTGTTATGAAGCCAAGCTGTTCTCCAGCATTTTCCTGCATTTTATATGTCTCTTTAGGGCACCATTTCTGTGCTTTGTGTTATAATCATGAGCATCCTTGTCGTTGGCTCTCTGCAGGACAACTCATTTCTTGTTGTTGTTTTTTTTCACCCTTATTTCTTATGTGGCAACCCTGTTTTCCAACTCACAGATAAATGCAGTAAATCCGTATTTACCTCCTAAATACAGATTTGTAGAATTATATTAACTATGAAGTATTAGCCATAATCTCAAATAATATCTGATTTATTAAAATAGACAGATTTAGAGATTCACATATCTAACCATGTAGATATTTATATATATGTTACATCTATGAATTCTAAGGCACTAAACCTGCCCATGTTTTTCTGATTCATTCAGAAAAACATCAGAATTCTGCAGAGAGATAATTTACCAAACCATTATGCTCCCTATTCCCATTCAGTAAGCTAGGAGGACAAATGATTCTCTCCCTTTTCTACCTGTCCTTCCTCTCACTCCAGTCTACAGAGACACCACCTTCCTTAGCAAATACAGTGGCTCCATTGGTCTGACATGGTATAGACTGCTTGGTCTGGGTCTGTGTCATTCGAATGTGTGTGTGCTCTGACTGATCCACTAGGGTACAACTTGAAAATAAGGTTTTTGAAAATCAGCTTTCGGGAGTAATAGGTGAGAAAACTCACCTACCTTGGCTGGGAGCACCTTAGAGAGAGGGCTTCCCACACTTCACGGTCCTGTACCCTGAAAAGCCAGAAGGAAAAAGCAGGTGAATAATTTGTGTGTCTGTTGCTATGACAACTAACCCAGTCACTTCGGCAAGGATATGGACAATTATGCCAAGGAGGGGATTCTCAGCCACGAGCCCTCTGAGTCATGCTACCACAGAGAATGCTCCAAATACCCGCTTGGCAACATGTAAAATGAAATCAAGTGCATCAGAATTTGCACCCTGTTTTAGGGAGACACTTGTAAGAGATGCCATAAATGACTTACTGATGAGCGCCAGCAGCCAGAATAAATTGCCATGGTGCATCATTTCACCACGTCCAAATAGGAACCATCTGGGAGGCTCCGAAGACTCCTAAGTCTTGCCTAAGATCACACTTGGGGAACTGCGGATAGTCGTACAGAAAAGGACCAATTTCTCACCTTCTCACAATCCCAAGATCTCCAGGCGGCAGCCAACAGCTTATGGCGGTTGTTAAAAAGGAGCTTAATTTTAGGTGTCGAATAAATGTGAGGCTCCTTCTTATTCTCCATGTCGTGATAAGGTGGAGTCCTGAAAATACCTCTGCTTGTGATTCTAGCTGTACTGTTACCTGAACTCTGAAAATGGTTATTGAAATATTTGAGATTATTGGTAGAGTTCTCCTGAGAATCCAGTTGGGTTTGAAATGTGAGCCCTCTACTGAATATGGGTTCTTCGAGAGTAAAAAAGGCCAACATTTTGATCTTGTGAAGCAGGGTAGATTTGTTTTTCTCTCTTAGGTATGGAAAATGTTATCTGTAGAAGGAACAAAAGTCAAACATATGATGTGTCAACGAATGACTTTCACTTTGATTTTGAAAACACCACCAAGAGTTTGGAATGGAAAGGTAAAAGTGTTTCTGAAAATGGTGTGCTTTGTGTGTGTGTGTGTGTGTGTGTGTATGTGTGTTTGCATGTGTGTATGTGTGTGTGTGTGTGTGTGTGTGTGTATGTGTCTAGTGGGGACAAGGGCAGAATTGGAGACTTTTAGGAGGCATAAAGTCCAAAGAAGTTTGAATTGTTATTTTCTTGGTTTCTTCCTGAGGTGCTAAATTTTAACACAGCACTACTTGCTCCTTAATTAATGATTAAGCAAATTCAATTCATGATTTAACTTAATTAAACAACTAATGAATTTGTGTATGCAGGAATCATTACTGTGGTGTCTGAGGCAGGCCTCTAGGGCATGGTTAGCTCAGCGCTGCACAACTTGGTAAACAGGACCCGGAGCCGTGCACAAGCATCCCTGCTTTAAACACCACACCTTTTATTTATGAAGATAACAGTTTGGGTACCTTTCCTAAGGAATGTATGTGCTGAAATGTACTCCCAATAGTGACCATCAGTTTTTTTTTTTTTTAAAGCTATTTAGGCCCATCCTAGAAATGCTCAAGACAACTCACTTTAGAAGGACAAAGCATAATCTTGTTATATTTTTAGATACTCTCATTTCACCTTGAAAGTACACTCACATCGCATACATCCAGCTTAAAGGCCTCTCTGTGAAATAGCAAATTTGAAATGAAATAGAGCTTTCATTACTTTTCAAGTGGAGGCCTCTACCTTGGGGTAACTAAATGCTTTTCTCTCTCCAGTGTGGAGGTGCTATTTTGGAACAAATGGAAGAAATAGAAGAAGAAAGGCAACAGATATGCATGGAAACTTAAGATCTGTCCAGTGTGTTTGATCCGTTAGCTTATTTGAGATAGTTTCATTTTGATTTTCAAGGAGAAAACCTGGGCTTAGTGAGACGAAGCATCTTGCCCAAGGTCACTCAGCGTCCACGTAGCATGGCTGGACTCGCTCCCCATGTCTGTCTGAAACTGTGCTACACTATCCATTTAAACAGCATTCAGTATGTGCTTAATTGATAGCTTTGGGATCTAATGTACTTCACAACATCTTGTTTTCTAAGGTAGGCAAACATTTCCCTTGAAATCTCATGGACACTATTAATTTACTTAGCAAATCATTTTCTCTCTGGCTAGTGCCAAGGAAAACTGCAGTGATCCCCTGTCTTAATGATCGCTCACTTCAAATTAGTGAAGTCCCATCTAACGAGGTTATGCCACAGATTATACAAAAGACATAGAGGCTTCATAACTGGGTTATTCTTGTAGTGCGGGCCTAGATTTAGAATAAAATGTTGATGAGAAAAAGCAAAGGGGTAGTGGCGATGTCTATTTGGGAAAAGAAAAGCTGTAAGTTGTACTCTTGTCTTTCTTTTTTAATTTGAGGGATATATTTAAAAGACTAAAATGGATACTTCATGTCATTTTCTGTATATCTATATTTTGGAGACTGAGTTGTCTCAATTTATTACTGTTTGCATTCTGTGTAGACAAGTCATAGATTTTCTGATTTGGTCTTCCTGCCAATTCTAGCCTTTCTGTACAAGAAACTAGCTCGGTGGGAGTAAATGGATTAAAATGAGCTAGTAGAGGTGTTTTAGCAAACTCCTGAGTCTATATTTATTGATTACTCCTGGACTCTTCTAAACTGTGCCTTTTCCCTAAACAGACTCAGGGCAAAAGCAATGTGAAATACATTAGTCAACAGCTGCTGCATTCACAGAACACAGAATCTGGGAATTAGAGATCCTTTTAGGGTACGCAAATGGCAGAGGACGCATTTGTGTACAAAAAGTCCACAAATGCTGGCATCCTTAGCTCCTGGTAAGACCCTATTCACCAGCCTGGACGTTTCCCAAGAGGAGACGCTCCTGGACTTGAGCTTCCAAAAAGTGACGTCGTAGGGGGTGGATTCAATCTCGCCATAAGAAGATAGGGCTGAGGTCAGAATGGAAATAGAGCAAAGTTCCTATTCCTTTTCTCTCCTCAATCTCTAAACTGCCTCCCAGGAGAAAAGGCAAATATTAGGTTCCCTGAAGTGACTTAATTCTCAGTCAAGATAAGCAAGAAATTCTAACGCACATTGATTTGTCCTAGTTCTTCAGTTTGGGAATCCTTTTGTCTTTTATTCAAATGCAGAATCCTTATAATTTGTTATTATTTAACCATTTCTTGATGAGCACCTAGAAATAAACTTCTCTTCGGTCTTAGGGCCAGAAAAATCTGTAACTCTGGGTAACAACTGATTTGTTTTGGTTTCATGTACACCATGACTCTGGCATCTGATCACATTATCTTAGCAACTATCATCTGGGACCTATCGCCTATTTTCCTACCCTTATTTCACTTCCATGCAAATGTCTATCTTCTGTATTTTTAAATATTTTATTATAATGGCAGGCCCACTGAGAAAAGAAACCTCAGACTATGCAAATATAAATTTGTGTTTAGTAGGACATGTGCAGTGGCTCATGCCTGTAATCCCAGCACTTTGGGAGGCTGAGGCGGGCAGATCACGAGGTCAGGAGATTGAGACCATCCTGGCTAACACGGTGAAACCCCATCTCTACTAAAAATACAAAAAATTAGCCGGGCATGGTGGCAGGCGCCTGTAGTCCCAGCTACTCGGGAGGCTGAGGCAGGAGAATCGCTTGAACCCGGGAGCAGAGGTTGCAGTGAGCTGAGATCACGCCACTGCCCTCCAGCCTGGGTGACAGAGTGAGACTCTGTCTGAAAAAAAAAAATTGTGTTTAGTAAGGTGACTCAACTCAATTCCTCTTTGTATGAGTAAGGTTTACAAATATAAACACATATACACATAGAAACATATAAAATGCCTGAACTTTTCCCTTGGGTCTTTTGCTCCATAAATGGAACATATTGTGAGTGTGCTTGATGACTCTTTCCTCTGAAAATTCATAATCATTTCTTTTTGGCTTCTAGATGAAGATCTCTGCAGGCTTCATACCAAGAGAACCCTTTTCTTTGCTGTTCTCGACCTTGTCCTACTGTATTGCATTAGGATTTCCATAGGATGTCTGATTGACCGGATACATATCATAATAACAGTGGCTATAATTGCTAACACTCACCACTCACAATATGCTTTACTAACAGGTGGTTAACTCTTCCTCATAGCATTCTGCAACATGATTTAGACATTATATACAAATGCAAAATAAACGTTTAGAGAGGTCAGGTAACTCGCACAAGGCCACCCTTAGAAGTTGTGGTACAGGGTTTCAAACTCTTCATGTCATGGTGAAAGCTCTCCCATACGCATTTTCTTTCTATGAAAACACTCAACTTACCCTTTTAATAGGAACCCTTATTTTTCAAGTCCCTGTTCTGAAATTTTCAAGACATATCAATACTATGACTAAAGAGCAATGCAATCTGAGCATCTGTTCAGGTTGCACACTGCACAACTTTAAGTGTCATTCACATAGACTACAATGTGACCACAATGTGAATGGTACCCCCTAGAGTTGTGCTGTACCTAACCTATGCAACCATTCATGGGTGCTCTGGGAGAAGACAGGCTCTCTCAGAGGTTCCCTTCTAACCTTAAATGGGATACACGTATCTTTCATATCTGAGACTCTCTAAGTAATTTGAAACATGGTTCAGAAATGTCCACTTATGATTCTTTTCTTCCCCTTTGATTTTCCTTATAAAACTAAATGAAATACAAAGAGCTGAGAAAAAGTCCTAAATATAAAATGGTGTCATTGTTGTGCTCTGAGAGCATACAGCAAATCCAGAATTGGGTAATTCTGCTTTCATTCATTCCAATAAACTCCTAGAAGAATGCCTGATACCTCCTCTGCTAAGGAAACCTTCCAGGGCAAATTGCCTCATCTCCTCCACTGACTTTATGTTTATCCCAGATGGAGATGCTGGGGACCCCATGTCATCATCCCTCAGTGGCCATGCCAAGAAATGCTTTCTGTAATCGCTGGAATGATCTTCTGCTACTTTTTTTTGTTTTTTGTTTTTTGTTTGGAGATGGAGTCTCGCTCTTTCGCCCAGGCTGGAGTGCAGTGGTGCTATCTCGTCTCACCGCAAGCTCCGCCTCCTGGGTTCACGCCATTCTTCTGCCTCAGCCTCTCGAGTAGCTGGGACTGCAGGCGCCCACCACTGCTCCCAGCTAATTTTTTGTATTTTTAGTAGAGACGGGGTTTCACCGTGTTAGCCAGGATGGTCTCGATCTCCTGACCTCGTGATCCGCCCACCTCGGCCTCCCAAAGCGCTGGGACTACAGCTGTAAGTCACCATGCCCGGCCTGCTACCTTTTCTTGAGCACAGTTGCAGGGACATTTCCATAGCTTCTTTATTTTCTATATTGAGAAAGAGAAAAGGCAACTTAGAGCTATATCCAAGAAGAGGTATCTCAGTGATCTCTGGTTAGCAGAATATATTTCATATCCCCAGTACAAACACATGTTGGTCACAGAGTAACTAACTCGTGTAATCTTGGAGTGTCTTCTAAACTCTTCCATGCTTATTAACCCCAGAACGCATGCCTATTATTCATATGATCAGAAAGCATTTTATAGTCCACATCTAAGCCATCTGTCTTTATGATGCTTCCCTGCCCATAACAAGCTGATAATACAAACCAGAACCACACCACAATAAAACATGCAAAGGCAAGTAGCAATTTAGCGGCAGATATTGGTATTACGCATAGGCCTGCAATGAGTAGATTTTAAGTGTCAGGATTTTAAAGTACATATATAATTGGCATGGATCTTAGAGAGAGTGGTCATTATAATTTCATGTTTAGGCAGGAAATTTGATGATGTTAGCAGCTTTTTCCTTCTGGATCTAGAAAGGTTTTGGGGTAGGGATAAGAGAAATAGACTCGAATTGATTAAAGGAGAGTCTAGTTTCAGAGAATGTAGAAGTGGTAGCAGAATGACACAGACACTGATAACGGCAATATAAAGTTGGAGACAGGGTTTTCAACTGTTTCCTCATGGGAAAATTGAGACACCTGCCTCTCTGTGTTATGGAAGGGCTGAGATGTGGGAAAGTTCGTGAATCCCTGATGTGAGACATTTCCAGGAAGAACAACATACTTTTCCATAAGATGCATAGCTGAACTTCTTTGCTTCCTGGAATCTTGAATAAAATATTTCAATAAGGTGCTCCTGGGGGCCTAAAGATGACCAGAAGTTGTTGCTAACAATTAGTGGATATGAAAAAATTGAATGAAAACTACATTTATTTTCCTTGGCAATTTACAAAAGCGTAAGTGCATATTGCACTGTGTGGCGGGGGGAGCTATTATCTATTTTAACTTCTGTTTCATTAAGAAACTGGTTTAAATGATGTTTTAAGAGAAAAAGAAAGGAAAGAAAAACTTCTTAGCAGGACATGGTGAAGAATGGCCTCTTTTCTGGTCAGCTTTTCTGCTCCCTCCATGCAGACCGAGTTCTGCTGATCCCTTTTGTGTCACTCTTGCTGCTCTTGGTCTTTGCTCACCTGGGCTTGGGTACCACATGCTCACATCAAAGTTCCCACTCTCAGCCTATATACGCAAAGGGAATCTCACACATAATCATCGTCATTTGTATTTTTAAGTAGGTTTCCTTCCTCCAATATGCTCTGCAAAACACCACCTGCCGCTAAGCACTTGTTTCAGGGACAGCCTCGTTGTGTGCTGCACAACGCCATGACCTGCCGTCTCCTCTGCTGCTCTGAACATTTTGTGTCCTGAATCCCTTTTGGACTAAAAATAGGCCATGGCCATTCTGTGCATATTTATGTAACAAGAGCTTACTTGGATTCTCATTTAAGTCCTGCAACACTCTTGATGAAATAGCCCTGCTATTATCATCCGCACCTGCAGATGGGGTCGATGAGAGAGAGAGAGAACAGAGTGGCAGGTGCAAGGCAGGGCTGGACTTAGACCCAGGTGATCCAAGCACAAATCTTGATTTATTTTTGGTCATATTATCTTAATCATTGAGTTGGCTTCTGTACTGCGGCCATGGAAAGGGCCAATTCTAGAACTGTATGTGAGACAAATAACATCCTTAATAAGATGTGGATTGAAAGTGGATTCTTCATTTGGAACAAACGTGGGTGCCAAGATCTTCCCTTGAAACTCTCAAGCCTTTTGCCTATTAACCTCTTCACAAGGCCCAGTATCGTGTATGCCACAGAAGTACTTAGCACAAGGCCCAGCACTCAGAACATTAAACAAGCATTCCCTTTCTCTTTGCTGTCTTTTTGCAGGCAGGGGTAATGCTATGTTCTGTGTGATACATATCTATGCACCTTATTTTTTTCTGGGGCTTTTGACTTATTTCAGGTGTCTGATTAATCTTCACAGAAGTGATGATGATGACAATGAGCATGATGATGACGATGACCTTGATGGTGTTGCTGCTAATCTTTTCTGCATAGCCCTGTGAGAGATCAGACTGTCATCTAAGGTACATGGCATGACAACATGCGTGAAATGTTTCATGGTTTGCATGGGCTGCTGACTACCACAGCTGCCTGCGCCCTCTGGCAGTCCAGCACAATGAGATGACAGTGAGGCATCTGTTCCCATGAACTTGTAAATGCCAAGGTTGGTGCCTAACACGGGTGCCTCTGAAGCTCAGTTTCATACTCGTGTCAGAGGACAGCATCAAACAGTCAGGCCAGGCAACAAATATTTTGCAAGAAGAACGTGTATTCCTGGGAGAGCTGAGAGAGCATTAGATAGAGCTCCTTTCCCCTTGCCAAGCAGCCGTCATATTCATGAACGTGTTCAGAGAAGATGACGTCTTGATGGGCTCAGCTCAGAATGAGCAAACCAGGCTGAGAATACACATATATTTTTAAGCTCACAATCAAACTCACCTTAACCCTGAGTTTTAAGGAATCAAATATAACAGAGAAAATCTGCATCCATGCCATATGATAAAACTATGGAACTGAGGGAGGTTGTGTGTATATATATATATACATACATATATATATATAATTCTGTAATTCAACCACATTCTAGTGTCGGCTCCTTATGCTATCTGTACTTTCATTTATTAAAAGGAGGACAGTTTCAGAAATTGTCGGTGTCAGAAGCTGTAGGTGCAGTGACAACAGCAAGCAGATAAGGCAACCTTGTTTTCTCAGGAGAACTCCATGTTTCCCCAAACTGAGTGGGGCAAAGGATCCTCTGACAAGTTTTGCACCCCATTTTCAATGTGGCCCCCATACTCTGCAGAAATAAGTTGTTGTAGAAGCAATTTGAAATCTCCCATTTAACCTCCGTAGGTGTTCAGACATGATTCACCTCAATGTGACAGTCTAGGGTAAAATTAAAACCATGTATTTTATTTATTTATTTATTTATTTATTTATTTATTTATTTATTTATTTTTAGAGATAGGGTCTCACTCTGTTGCCCAGGCTGGAGTGCAGTGGTGTGATCCTGGCTCACTGCAACCTCAGACTCCTGGGCTCAAGCAATCCTCCCCCATCAGCCTCCCAAGTAGCTAGGACTACAGGTGTGTACCACTACGCCCAGCTAATTTATTTCATTTTGCAGAGACAGGGTCTCACTGTGTTCTCCAGGCTAGTTTCAAACTCCTGGCCTCAAGCAAGCCTCCCACCTTCACTTCCCAAAGTGCTGCGATTACAGGCTTGAGCAACTGCAGCCAGCCAAAACTATGAATTTTAAAATGAGTAGGAAAATCTGCATGTTGCTATTACAATGGTTTATATTAGTAAACTAGATGATGAAGAACCAGGGAAAGTCTACACTACACAGTATTCATAACATTCACTTAATAATCACTCAGTACTTTAATACAGAAAATGCATATTGTTTTCTGAAATATGGTTCGGAGCTTCTCTGACAACTTCAAATCCTACTTTCTAAGTACCAGTTTTGGTGATGCAGTTTCTTTTCTAAGGACACAGCAAAAGACTCAAACCTAACACTGCTTTTACCAGTAGAAGAAAAGGAAATGCAATTTAACCACTCACACAGTGAAAAATTCAGCAGGGCTTTAAGCTGTGTGCAACGAAATTAACTTGAGACAGTGAAGCCAACTATATTTTGAAAAATTAAAATTTAGCAGCCCAGATAGGTTTATTTTTTCCTTCTCTTCATCTGATGTAGTTTCTATTAAAAGTTGGAGGACAAATGTTGACAGGCAGGACAGAAGGTGAAATGGAAACAAAAGTGGCTTGCTGAGGGGTCCTGCGGTGCCTGTCGAGCCTCTCCAGCTGCCGAATCACTGGACATGCTCGAGGACACTCACTTATTAGGCTCGCCAGGACCCTCTGAGTGAGGACAAAAAACATGCTCTTCATTTTATATTAGAAAAATGGTGAGAGTTCAACTGACCCATAAGGTCTTATAAAAAACAATAAACAAAGGTACATCCTTTCTTGGTCTGAATTCCACAAATTAGAAGTCAGTGAGGATTTGGTGCTCATTGCCATCCTCCTGTTATGCTAGTACGTTCTGTTCTGTTCTATTCTATTCTATTCTATTCTATTCTAGCTGTATTTTTTAAGACAGTGTCTCACTCTGTTGTTTAGGCTGGAGTGCAGTGGTGTGAACATGGCTCACTGTAGCCTCCAGTTCCCAGGCTCAAGCAATCCTCCCACCTTAGCCTCTGAAGTAGCTGAGACTACAGGTTCACACCACCATGTCCAGCTAATTTTTGTAATTTTTTTTTGGTTTTTTTGTTTTTGTTTTTGGAGAAACAAGGTCTCTCTATGTTGCCCAGGCTGGTCTCGAACTCCTGGGCTCATGCCATCCTCCCACCTCAACCTTGCGAAGTGCTAGGATTACAGGTATGAGCCACTGCACCCAGCCATTTCTTTTATTTTTTATTTATTTTTAGTTTTTGAGATAGAGTCTCACTCTGTTGCCCAGGGTGGAGTGCAGTGGCACAATCTCAGCTCACTGCAACCTCTACCTCCCAGGCTCAAGTGATCCTCCTGCCTCAGCTTCCCAAGTAGCTGGGGCTTCAGGCATGTGCCACCACGCTCAACTAATTTTTTTTTTTTTTTTTTTTGGTATTTTTAGTAGGCACTGGGTTTTGCCTTGTTGGCCATGCTGGTCTTGAGCTCTTGACCTCAAATGATCTGCCTGCCTTGGCCTCCAAAAGAGCTAGGATCACAGGCTTGAGCCACTGCACCCAGCCATTAGCTTTTACTTTGGTAAAGAATATTCTTTCTCTTTTTTTAGTTAGGACAAAACCTCTGATTTAAAAGCAAACTTCCCAGTTTTTTTTTTTTTTTTTAGAGATACAGGATAAATAGCTAGAAAACTTTGATGCCTGCTTTTCATAACCCTGATCATTTTAATGCAGTTATTTGTTTTAATTTCCAAGCAGCACATAGGAGGTAATAGGATGGTGATGAATCCTTTGGGCCTGGCTTCCGACTGCCTGAGGTCAGATCTTGGCTTCAGATCTTGCTGGCTTGAAGAGCTTGGGCAAGTGAAGACAATATTATACTCACTCCACAACAGTGTTATGAGTATGAAAGGTCAATGCATTTTTTAGACATTTGGTGAGAAAAAAAAAACTGGTCTCATCCTTTAGAATATTTAGGGTCCTGTTTCTTCTTATTCCTTTGCATTAGCAATGATTGGTAGAATAATGTTGGATGGCAACAGTAACAGCAAGCAGAGATAACTTGCCTTTTAAAATTATAATGGGAATATGTATTTTTAATATGTCACTTTCAAATATTATGTTAAAAATAGTTTCCTTTTATTCCTAACTTGCAAAGCATTTTCATCACAAATGGGTCCTGAATTTTATCAAATGCTTTTTCAGCATCAATTGAGAGGATCACATGATTTTTCTCCTTTAACCTGTTAAGCCAATTACCTGATTAACGTTGCATAGTATTTGCAGTACGAGGATAAGCCTGACTTGGTCATTATTTTAATATACATAATATTTAATTGTTCATAGTTTATTTAGGATTTTAGTATCTACATGCATATGAGAAGCCTATTAGTTATATCTAAGACAAGTCAGGCAATAGTAGATCAGTGACAACAATTGGTGATCGCTACACAGAATGGTTAATGTGTAGAAAAGAGAAACAGCCAAAGATTAAGGGAAGATTTCATGCTCAGAAGATGTGGACTCAATGGCCTATTGTCTAGAGTTAGGAGGGGAATCTCTAGGCACCTTGGGTTTAAAGCACTGTGCTCCTTTCCACATAAATC
Organism: Homo sapiens; assembly: GCF_000001405.40. NCBI lineage: Eukaryota > Metazoa > Chordata > Mammalia > Primates > Hominidae > Homo > Homo sapiens. The sequence continues at coordinate 6,705,877 of NC_000010.11, forward strand.
CTCACGGAAGCCCCTGCGCAGGTTGCTGCAGGCTCCCCCAGAGGTGTTCCAACAGGACTCAGGGCTGGAGAACTTTTCTATCAGGCAGGCAAAAAACTGTGTTGCTGCTTGGGAATTTAAAAAAAGGGCCAGGCACAGTGGCTCATGCCTGTAGTCCCATTACTTTGGGAGGCTGAGGTAGGAGGATCCCTTGAGTCCAGGAATTTGAGACCAGCCCGGGCAACAAGACCCCGTCTCTACAAAAAAATTTTTAAGGCCGGGCGTGGCGGCTCACGCCTGTAATCCCAGCACTTTGGGAGGCCAAGGTGGGTGGATCACGAGGTCAGGAGATCGAGAACATCCTGGCTAACACGGTGAAACCCCGTCTCTACTAAAAATACAAAAGTTAGCCGGGCGTGGTGGTGGGCGCCCGTAGTCCCAGCTACGCGGGAGGCTGAGGCAGGAGAATGGCGTGAACCCGGGAGGCGGAGCTTGCAGTGAGCCGAGATTGCGCCACTGCACTCCAGCCGGGGTGACAGAGTGAGACTCCATCCCCCCCAAATTTTTTTTTTTTAATTAGCCAGGTGTAGTGGCACGCACTTGTGGTCTCAGCTACTCGGGCGGCTGAGGCAGGTGGATCATTTGACCCCTGAAGGTCCAAGCTTCAGTAAACCGTGATTGTGCCACTGCACTCCAGCCTGGGTGAGAGAGCGAGACTCTGTCTCAAAAAAAAAAAAAAAAAAGTGAGCAAGGACATTGTAAAAGAAAAAATATATATAAACGGACACAGACCAAGTGAACATGAGCTTAGATACTGGAACATCGTGGGCTGGGGGCAGGTATGCAAGACCTGCATCTAGAACTGGGGGTGCGAATCCTACGTTTTTCATTTATTACAGGGGTTTCTAAACTGAAGTTACAGAACTGGGCTTTCGGAAGTCTACAATTCCAGATATTATATGTAAAGTTTGTGTATCTTTGCATTTTTCTGTGGTCAGACTCTATAGCTTTCATTTTACAAAAGGAGCATCACTGATTTACTAACTGTTGGACTTTGGGCATGTTCTCTGACCTTTCGGCTGCCTTTCCTATAAAGTGGAGATAAGAAGCCCTAGTTACTTCAAAGACTAGATGTGGACACACATGCAGACCCAAATTATAAAAAGTCAGGTGTAAGGATATATGTATGTTATACTGAAAGAGGTGTTTAGAAGATAAATGCAGTAGGCAATAAAATCTGAACCATTTAGTTTGAAAACAGGTTTATGAACACATCCAAAAATATTTAGGTAAATGCAGGCATCTAATTGTAGAAAAGTAGAGTTTTTAAATTTCATTATATATAATATATACACATATTTTCTATCTATCTATCTATCTATCTATCTATCTATCTATCTATCCATCTATCTATCTATCCATCTGTCCACCCATCCATCCATCCATGTATCCATCCATCATCTCTATCTATCTATCTATCTATCTATCTATCTATCTATCTATCTAATCTTCCTCGCCAAAAAAAAAAAAAAAAAAAAAAAAAAAAAAATCCCACCTATATCACCACCACAGAAAGTGTACTGGGTTGGATTTGACCTTACCTGTCAATCACAATGTTTCTTATGCTAATGCAAACATTCCAGCAAGCGGTCTGGATTTGTTAACAGCAGAAATACACAGATCCTTTCTTTAATGAGTGCAACACAGTGCAAAGGCCACTGGAGTTGCAGTGCAGCCATGAAGAAGAGAAAAAGGGACTCTAGATGGGCAGCCTCCTTTGCTTTGTGTCCCTCACACTCTTGACTATGTTCTCCCTTTGACGCGGGTGAACTGGTTGCTTGGGGCTCTTTTCACTCAGAACCCCACATTTGGAAGGGTCAGCTTTGTTTCCTTTTTGTCTAATTTCTGGGTTTCCCGCTGGAGCATGTGAAAACTAAATCATTCCACCTTGTGATTTTGGAATATCAGATAAGGCAGTCCCCGAGCCATCTGTCATTTGCACATACTGTGTTTCCCAACAGAACTAAATTGCAAAATTCTGAACAATCAAAGAGAATTAGGGTAATGCTAGCAATGTCCACTATTTTTACATTCTTCTTTTGCAATTCTCTGTATTAAATTTCATTTTACAAAATAGTTAACAATTCAACTCCTCAAATAAAATGTATCACAGAAGTGTTAAAGGATTAGAATCATTTAGGACTATTAAGAATCGAAATTTTCTCCTATGTGATTATATCATTGAACAATGGCAAAATGGATACTACCAAAATTCTAAGTGTGGAGAACATGAGGCTTAAAGGAGAGGAAGTCTCTTATACTAGAAGACAAGTAAATTATAGAGAATTATAAAGAAAAGAATAAGTTGATTTGATATCCAGTCAGTGGAAAGCATTTTAATAGAAAGTGGTGGGGGCGAGACATAAAGGAGGAATGTAATTAATATTGCATTACTTTAGGGGAAAAACACCTAAACATTTTCCAAAGGAGATCAGTATTGATCTTTGTGTGTTTGGGTTGTTTCTGTGTGTGTAGACAGAGAGAGAGAGAGAGAAGTATGGTATTATACTTGTTAAATACAAATATATGTATTTAGTTCAATTAATCTTCTATTATTAGTCTCATCTTACAAACATATGTAATAACTTTTCTAAAGGTTTCCCAACATTTCCAAATAGGACCAGCATTTGAAAGTCGAGGTACCTGATTCTACATTCTGAAATTTGCTTTTACAAGAATCTTCTGAGTGAAAAATCAGATATCACTCAAATAAAGGGTTTAAATATTAGACCTTCAAGGTGTCCGACTGATTGCAAATGGAAACTTTGGATTAGAAATCACAGATGAAGCATGATTAATCCTCATTTGTTTTCTTGAAATTGAGCTCTGTCTTCAGGGACTCAAGTTCCTATGTTCCTTCTTGCTCCTGTTTCCAGATAAGTGGGAAAAGTCAGGAAAGACTTCACTGCTGATATGGTTGTAAAATATATTGAACGAGGCCCAAGGCAAAAATTGCTAAAAAGTCACTTGATCCATTGGAGTGTCTTCTCATTCAGAAACATTTATTCCAACATGACATGAAACCAGTCAGAATGCTGACAGCAGTGCTTATGAATTGAGTATTAAAAAACGTGTGGTATATAATTCCATTTTAAAAAGATTTATATTAATATCTAAAGAAATTTTCTTGGAAAACGTGTTTAAAACTATGACAGTGTTAATTTCTGGCTAGTGAGAGTATGAGTGAATTGTTATTTACCCATACTCTGTTAATTTGTATTTTCTTGTTTTCTAAAATTTAAGTAATGACCTGTAATAAAACTGGAAGTTTTTAAAGGCAATTCAACAAATAAATGTTGCTAGGCCCCGATTTGTGGACACTGAGCTAGGCAAAAGGATATATAAAGAGATGCAAGCTAGAGGAGGGGAAAGTTCTGGATGGGGACCTCATTGGCCTCCTCACCTCTGTAGACCCACGTCTTGGGTTGACCCAGGGTAGAACCCTATAAGGATTTGTTCAATAAACGAATGCATAGAGACTGATCAACAACTGACAAAGTGGTATTTTACAGATGCCGTGAAAGCAGCATACAAGCCGGAGAGCCTACTGGAAGCAAGAGGGGAAAACCCAGCCGGGTATGGGGGCTGCGGGGAGGATGCCAGGTGGCGGAGACTGGATTCAGGATTTGATGCTTGAACTGAACCTTCTTTTAAGAGGTGAGTGGGCTGGGAGGTTGTGATGCCCAGAGGGTGAGGAAGGAAGTGGGGGAGGAAGAATACAACAGAAGACAAAGCTGATGAGAACAGCCCGTGCTAACTTGAAGAAGTTAGGGAGAGCAAAATGAGAAGAGAGAGCAGGGGACAGACAAGATTGTAGGACAGTGACACCTCTAGGATCTTAGGAAAACTCAACTTTGAGCTTTTACAAATACAAAAACTAAGAAACTACTTGTAAAAAAAATTAGGACGCTGACATAAGAAAGTGATGGGTCAGGGCAGAGTGGGAGAGAATCAAGAGATAGGAGGAAAAGTGGAAAGAAAGGGATACAGACCAACTGCAGGAAGCGGTATTTCTTCCGGAACTCTCGCTAAATGCTGTTGCCTTTTGCATAAACATGGCACAAGCCATTTTTGAGGGGGTGGGATTTTGGAGCAGTTTTAATGGACATTTAGTGTGTCTGTCTCTTTTTTTTCCAAAGTAAATTATTTTTTCTAAAATAACTATACACATTACCATCATGTCCTTAATAAGAATACACTTGATGAGGACAAAGCAGAAACTTATTAAATAGGTTATATAGTTATAAAGAAATTTGGTTGCTTTTAAAAAGTCAGCTTATGGATTTAATTTATTTCTCAATAAATTCTTTTAACATCAATCTAAAACACTAATTATTTTTTAAAAAACAGACAGGAAAAAAGGAAGGAAGGAAAGAAGAGGGGGAGAGGGAGGGAGGGAGGGAAAGAAAGAAAATAAAAAAAGCTGAGGGAGAGAGAAGAAGGAAGGAAGGGAAGGAAAAAATAAGTTCCTCCAGGTCATGCTATGTGTAGACAGTGGGCCCTACCTATGAGCAAAATCAAGCATCAATACTTCCTAAAGAATTTTTTCTCAACAAGCATTATTTATGTCTGAGAGCTTTATCCATCATTTTCACTCATAGAGGAATAACGCAAAAATGATTTTTTTTTTTTTTTTTGAGATGGAATCGTGCTCTGTTGCCCAGGCTGGAGTGCAGTGGCGTGATCTCAGCTCACTGCAACCTCCGCCTCCCAGGTTCAAGTGATTCTCCTGCCTCTGCCTCCCAAGTAGCTGGGATTACAGGTGCCCGCCACCATGCCCAGCTAATTTTTGTATTTTTAGTAGAGACGGGATTTCACCATGTTGGCCAGGCTGCTCTCCAATTCCTGACCTCGTGATCTGCCCGCCTCAGCCTCCCAAAGTGCTGGGATTACAGGCATGAGCCACTGCACCCGGCCGATGTGTGTTTTTTTAATGAGCAAAAATGATAGATAAAGCACTTAAGAGTTTGAAAGAAAAAGAAGACAGTAGCTCTGTTGGGTGATGGGGAAAATCTTTTTCCAGTTTTGATGTTAGAAAGGATCCAGAGGTGGGATGAAGAGACTGCTTAATGCCGTATTAAAAAGGAAGATGCCTCAGGGTGATGGAGAATGGGTCATCTATTATGTTCTAGAAATCACTTGCAAATCAATAGTAATCGTGCGACAGAGCCTACTGCTAATATGGGAAGTAACGTTCCTAACTGCAACAAGAATTTTCATGGCAAACATTTTTTTCCTGAACTATTTTACCAATATATACAGACCTCCCGAGAACCTGAGCTATCTCCTGCTCTTTTTATACAAAGAAGGGGGAGGAAGAGAATCAAAACTGTTGCAATTTCATGTTCCATATTTCTGCTCTAGTTTCTAACTTCCTATCCTCTTAATCTTAATTACTCTAATCCATAACCACGTATTGCATCAGCTTTGCCAGAATCTCTTCCCACAACTTCCCGTGCACACCGTCCTCTTCTTTGGCAAATACACAGCATGTCATTTTCTGGATGAGTGGCAGACACAAAGCATACTGCAGTAAATGATGTTATGCCACTGTTCCCTGTTTAATCAAATCAAAGTAGATATGGTTGATTACATGGACAAAAAACTACTGAATAAACACGTTTGTTCAGGAGTAACTAAGCATTAGATAACATTATGTAATGTGGAAGTAAGTAACTGCCTGGCTTAATGTTATGGTTTCCATGGAAACCACATCAGTGAAGGGTAAAGGAGTTCAGAAATATTGGTTTCTTTCGGTGCATAAATGCAGTATCTGCATGCACACGATGTTTTTGGTGGCTTGAGAAAAGTATTCCACTCATTAAAGAGTAATCTGCGTCATGAATCAGTACGAATATTTGGGACTGCCATCTAGGAAAGAATACAGCTTGGCATTGCCTTTCCCGGGTTCTTTAGGGATGAAAGGATGCTCAGGTGGCTAGAGGAAGAGAGCTACATGAATTTTACATGGGATGCTGCCCCCGTGTAGGGTCCATGTGCCACGGATGGGTTTTTCTTCTTTTCCAAAAAACAAAGAGAGTGATGGCGATAACAAAACGTCAAAGTCCCAGCCAAATGCTGAACACTGCAGAGGATGGTCCTTGCGGAACGCAGAAAAGATTAATTATGGGAGGAGGAGAGGAGGCCTTGGTTTTGTATTCAGGCGGCGCTGCAGTGTTCTCCGTCCCTTTATCTGCTACCGAAGCGCAATTACAGCGCAGGGAGGGGAGGGGGGTGAGAGGAGGGGAGGAGGGTGCAGAAGGGGAAGGGGATGCGGGGAGGGGAGGAGGGTGCGGGGAGGAGAGGGGGATGCGGGGAGGGGAAGGGGGTGCGTGGAGACGAGGAGGGTGTGGGGAGGGGAGGAGGGTGCTAGGAGGAGAGGGGGGTCCAGGGAGGGGAAAGGGGTGCTGGGAAGGGAAAGGGGTGCAGGGAGAGGAGGGGGTGCAGCGAGCTCCCAGCTCCAGCATTGTTGTCTTAGTCTTTTATTTCATTTTAGTCCCTCTGGGTTGGACGAGGAATAAAGTTAAACATACAGGTTCTTCTGAACTGCAAGTTACACCTTAATAAGACTTAGAGAAATCCAATTATTTTTTATTCTGTGGTTGAAGGGAAATTCATTTCAGTGGTCAGAAGAGGGGCTGAGAGCCAGGAGAGCTGAATTCTGCTCTTGTTTCCGCACTCTTCCCTCATTTACTCCTAATGGCTTAGGTGTGGTTTGCCCTGGAGGCTGGCTTTTTAATTCTAGGATCGTTCCAGCGGCTTTCCAGGCTGAAGATGTTCATTCACTGTAGACCTTCCCTTCTTAATTCATCTGCAGTGGATCTTTGCTACCCAAGTTAGTATTAAAAAGAAGGTTAGTACAGAAAAGTCTATCTTTCTAGGGTGTGCTTCCTAGATACATTGAAGAGATTTTAACTGGAATTTATTCCATAGCTAGAGCCCATCCGTGTGTTAATTTTCCCACGTATATTGTTATTCTCAAGTGTGCAGACCCTTCTTCTTCTTCTTCTTCTTCTTTTTTTTTTTTTTTTTTTGAGTGCAGTGGTGCAATCTTGGCTTACTGTAATCTTCGCCTCCTGGGTTCTAGTGATTATCCTGTCTCAGCCTTCCAAGTAGCTGGGATTACAGGCACGCACCAGCACGCCAGACTAATTTTTGTACTTTTATTAGAGATGAGGTTTCACCATGTTGGCCAGGCTGGTCTCGAACTCCTAACCTCAAGTGATCTGCCTGCCTCGGCCTTCCAAAGTGCTGGGATTATAGGTGTGAGCCACCAAGCCCAGCCCCCTTTCCATTTTACTCCAAATAGCCACTAAGAGGGCTTCTACACTGATTAAATGTGTCCCCACATTTACGGGGTTACCACACAGTTTCGGAAAGAAGGGAAGAAGCCCTCTCCATGGTTCTGCCCTAGAAGTTGAGCACACTACAGGGAGCAAGAGCTTAGAGTTGCCCCTGAAGATCTAAAGCACTGGTGAATCGTGTGTAGGGAAGAAAATACAGGCAGCAACTTCGTTCCACTCTGTGGGAAGCTTTGACTCACAAGGTCCATGGAAAGACCTCTGGCTCTGATCCCATCCCCTTTATCCATAAAAACAGTGGGATGCAGGGTCATTTTTGCCAATGTGGAAGTTGTGGCAGGAGATCTGTCCTCTCTTTTTCATCTTTCTTGTAATAATGAAGGCAGAATATTTACCAAATCCTTGGTTTATACCAAGCCTTTTCATTTCTCCCTCTCAGCAGTACTTTAAGGTAGGTATTACCAGCCATGTCTGCAAATGGGGATCAGAGACATTAATGGTAAAACAATTACCAGCAAAAGGGGATTAGAGGCATGAAGTAACTTGCCAAAGATTACCTGGGTAGAGACTGAATAACTCAAACCAAGGTTGTGGCCCTTTTGCCTACACTGTTAAATGGCAGCACTACTGTGAGGGAGGTCTTGAAGTAACTCATGAAGCTTCAACCAGAGCACCTCGGACAGCTCCCAGCCAATGAAAGGAAGTTTCTGGGTCGAGATGTTTTCCGGACGAATGTGTTGAACCTGGTCCCTTAACTCTCTCCATCACTATTTTGACCAGAACGAGGAAGTGGTTTTTTTCCACCCTTCAACTTTTATTTGAAGTTCCGGGGTACATGTGCAGGATGCGCAGGTTTGTTACATAGATAAATGTGCCATGGTGGTTGGCTGCACAGATCACCCCATCACCCAGGTATTAAGCCTAGCATCCATTAGCTATTTTGAGGAAGGATTTTATTTTATTTTATTTTATTTTGAGAGACAGGGTTTCACTCCTGTTGCCCAGGCTGGAGTGCAGTAGTGCAGTCTTGTCTCACTGCAGCCTCCTTCTCCCAGGCTCAAGCGATTCTCATGCCTCAGCTACCTGAATAGCTGGGATTACAGGTGCATGCCACCAAGCCTGGCTAATTTTTGTATATTTAGTAGAGATGGGGTTTCACCATGCTGGCCAGGCTGGTCTCGAACTCCTGACCACAGGTGATCTGCCTGCCCAGGCCTCCCAAAGTGCTAAGATTACAGGTGTGAGGCACTGCACCCGGCCTGAGGAAGGATTTTAATACCTTAGTTGTAAATGTGACTTTACAGTCTACACAGCACATTTGTTCTCAGGACAGCCCTGTTGGTGGATATTATTATTTTCTTTTAACTGGTGTAAAAAAACTCAGGCACCTGTCCAGTTAATTTACCTACCTTAAAAAGCTATTAAATGAAGAAACAAGAATGTACACTTTAGTCTCGTGTTTGTTCTTACCGCAAAACATGGATATACGGAATTCCCTGGTCGAGTCTCTGACGCCCAAGCCATGGTATTGACACAGAGATGACACCTTCCCCAACGTCCTTGATTTAACCAGGGTAAGCTCTTGCTCTCTTTATGGCAACTTGTTTCTTGCATGCCATAGAAGAAAAAATAGCTCTAGTTTATTTTTTGAACAAAATGGTCATTTGCCAAGAAGTTCTCCTGTCAGAAGTTCTCCAGAAAATTCCAAGACTTACCTGGGAACAAAAGAAAGCCTGCTAGCCCAGAAATGAGAATTTTAATTTTGATCAGCTCTCAGGAGATCTGTGGGAACCTCAATTTGCTCGGTGTCTTTGAAACACTGCAGTCTTGTGTATACTGAGTGGGTGGCCATGGTAGTGTGCCATACACAGGTGCAATAAAAAATAGCTTATCAACTCCTGACTTCAGGTGATCCTCCCGCCTCAGCCTCTCAGCCTTGCCAACATGGTGAACCTCTGTCTCTACTAAAAATACAAAAAAATTACCTGGGCGTGGTGGTGGACATCTGTAATCCCAGCTACTCGGGAGGCTGAGGTGAGAGAATTTCTGGAACCTGGGTGGCAGAGGTTGCAGTGAGCTGAGATTGCAACATTGCACTCCAGCCTGGGTGACAGAGTGAGACTCTGTCAAGAAAAAAAAAAAGGCCAAGCACAGTGGCTCACACCTATAATCCCAGCACTTCAGGAGGCCGAGGCAGGCGGATCACCAGAGGTTGGAAGTTTGAGACCAGCCTGGCCAACATGGCGAAACCCCATCTCTACTAAAAATACAAAAATTAGCCGGGCATGGTGGTGCATGTCTGTAGTCCCAGCTACTTGGGAGGCGGAGGCACAAGAATCACTTGAACCCAGAGGTGGAGGTTGCAGTGAGCTGAGATTGCGCCACTGCACTCCAGCCTGGGCAACAGGTTAAGACTACATCTCAAAAAAAAAAGAAAAAAAAAAGGAAAGAAAAAAAAAGCGTATCAAATTGTCCAAGCTGAGGCTTGCTTGACATGAAGGGCTTCTTGAATGCTTAGCCTAAAGACAGCCTACCCTCCAACAGTGGCTATACTGTCATCTGTGACTTGTTATTTGCATCATATTGTGGGGCTTATTTCCAGAGAACTGCAATTTGAAACTCAGTTACTCTTCCCATCAGCTGTTCCCTCTCATCCTCTCTCCAACAAGAAAAATAAGATGGTGTTTGGGGCCTTTCGGGGGTTGGGGGAAAGGGGAGGGAGAGCATTAGGACAAATACCTAATGCATGCAGGGCTTAAAACCTAGGTGACGGGTTGATAGGTGCAGCTAACCACCATGGCACACGGATACCGATGTAACAAACCTGGATGTTTTGCACATGCCCCAGAACTTAAAGTAACATTTTTAAAAAATTTTTTAAAAAAAGAAAAGAAAAATAAGATGGTATTAAATGTATGTTAAAAGGATGGTAATTATTATCAGTGTACTCTTGAAAGAAGCTAGGTTTTCAGCAATTCTTAAAATCGGTATTTAAGCCACCTATGTGGCTTACAAAGGCAAGTCTTTTCATTGTTTGCGGCTAATAGTGAGGCCAGTGCATACTCCCAGAAGCAAAAAGAAATAGCCTGTTGTAGTTTAGAAATTGATTCAAATTTTGTTTTCTGAGCACGCGAAAGAAAAACTTTCAATGCTTCTGCCAAAATAGCTTGTTTTTATTCAGGTCTTCAAAGAGAGTATAGGTTGTTATTTCTTTAGATATTGTCTACTTTTCTTCAAATGGCACTTTTTGAAGAGGCCAAGTCATTTCAATAATTCGTGTGTGTGTGTGTGTGTGTGTGTCTGTGTGTGTGTGTGTCTGTGTGTGTTTTACCTTGAATGGTGTTAGGAGAATTAAGCCAAATACTGTTAGCATCAGATCACTGGCTTATGAAATCTCTTCTATTTGTGTGTTCCATGATGAACTGGGGCTGTTGCTGCTGATTTTCCATTGGCTGGCTCAGCTAACAAAGCTTTACAAACTGCTCTGAGCTTGTGTCTTCAGTAAGTTCCAGCTTCTTCTCATTGGTTCTTGTAAAGATGCTGAAGGAGGTAGGGCGTTGGTGACTCACTATTATAAAACTCTTTTACTAAGAGTTGCAGGAGAAGGCTCTAATGAATTGCATACAGGGAACTATAACACACTGGCTCTGCTAAAACTTGTGAGTAAAAGGAGACAGATGGGCAAAGGAGATTTGACCTGCTTTTTTCTTAAAGAAAACATATGAGAAAGAGCAGGTTTGGAGTAAGATGGACTTGGTTTTGAATCTTGGTGCCATGATTTAACAGTTTAGTGGCAGAAAGAAGCAGCATGACCCAGACCTCAGATTTCCATACATATAAATTGGATGTTTAAATGCCTAGCTGGAAGTACTGTATGGATTTACCAATTATGCAAGGTACCAAGCACAGTGTAGGTACCAAATATCTCTTTGCCCTTCACCACCACCATTAATGAGTAATGTGTCTTATTCCGGGGACACTCCCCAAGTTCTTCAGGTTTCCCACCTTCCTTCGCTAGGAGCTCAGGTAACACTGGACAATCTATCCACAGTGGAGAGGACAATTGCCAACTCACAAACACTGATTCTATTTTATTGTGATGGTCTAGGATGAGGGTCAGCAAACCATGGCCCTTGAGTTCAATCTGGCCCATTTCTTGTTTTGCTAAATAAAGTTTTATTGGAATACAGCCAAGCTCAATCACTACATATTATCTATGGCTACTTTTGGGCTACAACAACAACAGAGTTACATAGTTTTCAGCAATATTTACTATTTGTCCATTTACAGAAACAGTTTTATAATAATTACCAGTGATCTCTGGTCTAGGGTAATTATTTCCAAGTTTATATGAAAGTATTGACTGGTCTTGGATCCTTGAGAGCAAGATTTGTATAACTCAAATACCTCATATCCTGTACAAATACCCTTAACAAAGGCAGAAGTTCCATCATCTAAATACTTTGAAAAAATATAAACAGAACCATACATAATTATAGGAGATGAATTTTAGTTTTTATTTTTTTGAGACAGAGTCTCGCTCTGTTATCCATGCTAGAGTACAGTGGTATAATCTCGGCTCACTGCAACCTCCACCTCCAAGGCTCAAGTGATTCTTTTCTTCAGCCTCCTGAGTAGTTGGGATTACAGGCATGTGCCACCACACCCAGCATTTATTTTTTCTTTTTTGTGTTTTTAGTAGAGCTAGGGTTTCACCATCTTGGCCATGCTCGTCTTGAACTCCTGGCCTCAAGTGATCCACCTGCCTTGGCCTCCCAAAGTGCTAGGATTACAGGTTTGAGCTACTGTTCCCACTCTGCCCAGCTGGGGATGAATCTTATAGCCATTCTGCCAACCTCTGGAGAATTTATTCTGTTTGTGGCAGAATAAACATTAGCTGCTCAATATCCTAGCTGAATCAACCTAAGACCACCAGAAACAAACCAATAGCCTGGTACATTTGGGTTTATTGATGTAATCCAATCGGGTAAATGGAACCCTAGAGGGCATCTCACCAAACAAAGAAGAAATAAAAGTAATCTAGATTCTGGGGAAGGGTGGGGTTTAGATGAAATTTGAATGAAGTAGTGTTTAGATAGGCTCACAGCGAAGTAGGGTAGTATAAAGGGGTCAGTATCAGATCTGCACTGAAAAATGGACCCAGGGTCCTGTTTCTATGGAAACAATGCAGTTGTGAGATAGATGTGGAAACCCCGTATCTGAAGCTCTGCCTCTGAGTTAGAGATCTAGATTGTTTCTCTGCATCAAAAAGCGACTAGGTTTTCCAGCCAGAAGTGGAGGTTTCATTCTTACTGATACAATTCCAAACAGCAAAGCTTTGGAGAGTCCATGCTTTTAGAGAACAAAGTTTCTTAGAGAGTAAAAAAGCAGTAGTGACTCAAAGAAGGGGCTGTTCTGACCTGTTAGAGTTGCAGTGTGTCCTTGGGAGAAATACTGTTCCCTGTTACTTTGAAGATGGCTTTATCTGTGTCTGTTATTCCAGCCTGATGAATGGCCAGGCATGTTTTTACTTCCTTGTTCTGAGTTAATTTTTACTTTCTCATCAGGAAGGCACTGATGGTAGGGTTGGAAGGTAAAGAGGCAGAAGCAGATGAGGTTAGAACACAATTAGTGAGGAACCAAATTCAAAGCAGGTAGGCTGAAGGGAGCTTTCCTACAAACTTCATGAATATGTATTGGGTAAATGAATGGATAGTCTTTGAATGGTTGTGAAGAGTCTCAAACATAAAGGAGCAGTAACATGTTAATGATTCTAATATTATCAGTTAGAATCTTACATAGAATTTTATGATGCTTATTTTGACATTTAACCAGAAAAAAAATGGCATGAAAAGTTCTGATAGCAGACCATCAAATGTACTATGAATGTTTCCTTTAGACATTTCTGGGATAATTTTAGGGTTATTCTTCATAGTAACTACCGACAGGTGGAAGCCAGAGTACTGAGTAACAGCAGTCTCCCTGCAGGTTTTGATTTTCTTTTTTAAATTATTTGTATAGATTTAAGGGGTACAAGTGCAATTTTGTTACCTGGATATATTGCCTAGAGGTAAAGTCTGGGTTTTTAGTGTAACCATCACTCAAATAATGTACATTGCATCCATTAAGTAATTTTGCTACCAGAAAGAGGTCCTGATCCAGACCCTAAGAGACTGTTCTTGGATCTCCCTGGAAGAAAGAATTTGGGGTGAGTCCACAGAGTAAAGTGAAAGCAAGTTTATGAGAGAAGTAAATAAACAAAAGAATGGCTACTCCATAGGCAGAGCAGCCACAAGGGCTACTGGTTGGCTATTTTTGTGGTTAGTTTTTGATCATATGCTAAACAAGGGGTGAATTATTCATGAGTTTTCCAGGAGAGGGGTGGGCAATTCCCCTGGAAGTAAACTATATCATTTAATATGGGTTAAACCATATAGGGTAACTTCTGGATGTTGCCATGGCATTTGTAAACTGTCACTACAGCAGTGGGAGTGTCTTTTAGCATGTGAATGCATTATCATTAGCATAGAATGAGCAGTGAGGATGACTGGAGGTCATCGTCATTGCCATCTAGGATTTGATGGGTTTTGGCTGGCTTCTTTACTGCATCCTGTTTCATCAGAGGGGTCTTTGTTACTTCCTATCCCATCCTTCCTGTGACTAAGAATGGCTGACCTCCTGGAGATACAGCCCAGCAGGTCTCAGCCTCATTTTACCCATCCCCTATTCAAGACGGAGTCACTCCGGCAGGGTGTGGTGGCTCATGCCTGTAATCCCAGCACTTTGGGAGGCCGAGGTGGGTGGATCACGAAGTCAGGAGATCGAGACCATCCCGGCTAATGTGGTGAAACCCCGTCTGTACTAAAAATACAAAAAATTAGCCAGGCCTGGTAGTGGGCGCTTGTAGTCCCAGCTACTTGGGAGGCTGAGGCAGGAGAATGGTGTGAACCTGGGAGGCAGAGCTTGCAGTGAGCAGGGATGGCACCACTGCACTCCAGCCTGGGCGACAGAGCGAGACTCCATCTCAAAAAAAAAAAAAAAAAAAAGATGGAGTCACTCTGGTTCCAATGGCTCTGACAATTTCTCATCCCTCACCCCTTTCAACCCTTCGTCCTTCCTAGTCTCCAATGTCTGTCATTCCATACTCTATATGTCACAGATTTTAGATCCCAAGAATGGCTCAATGCCTGAAGTCACAAGGTTTATTTCCTGAGCTGTTTCTGAAGGACAGGATGTTGTAAGTACTGTATCAGAAGTGTGTCGGGAGATAAAACTTGTGACTCTAGGAACTGATAACAGCAAAACTGAATGCGTGGCCTCTGGGCCCTCTCACTTCCTCCCTGTCTCACCTGAAGGAAGTGCAGTGTGGGCTGGTGGCAGTGGCATTCTCTATCTCCTCCCAGCTCCCAGACTTCATTCATTCTCTGAGTGATCATTGAGTCTCTCTGTCCTCTGTGCCTACAGAAGTCAGGATTCCTTGAGAGAAAGAAGCTTTCACACTTTTCGCATCCAGCGCGCTTCCACCTTTAACTTCAAAGCCTTTAATGCCTTCCATGTTCATTTGGTGGGGGAAGAAATGTACCTCCTGTATTAGTCTGTTCTCATGCTGCTAACAAAACCATACCCAAGACTGGGTAATTTATAAAGGAAACTGGTTTAATGGACTCACTCTTCCACATAACTGGGGAGGCTTCATAATTATGGTGGAAGGTGAAGGAAGAGCAAAGGCATGTCTTACATGGTGATGGGCAAGAGCGCATGTGCAAGGGAACTCACCTTTCTAAAAACCATCAGTTCTCATGAGACTTACTCACTATCACGAGAACAGCATGGGAAAGACCCACCCCCATAATTCAGTTACCTCCCACTGAGTCCCTCCCATAACATGTAGGAATTATGGGAGCTATAATTCAAGGTGAGATTTGGGTGGGGACACAGGAGCTATAATTCAAGATGGGATTTGGGTGGGGACATGGCCAAACGATATCACCCCCATCACTGATTGTTATTAGCAAAGTCTTCATTTCTCTGAAGCTGTTGATCCTTATTTGTTCACTTTGATATGACCTCGATTTTTCCAGTTTTTCTCATTTTGTCTTGTACAAATCACTGCCAGTGTAAACTCCCTACAGTCTGGAATCTTCTTTTCAGCTTCCATTCTCCATCTCTGCTCCCTTAGCCCCACCCCTCCAGGAAGCTTCTGGTCCAGCAGGACCCTTTGCAGCCTGAGGACCATGACCTGAATTAACTCCACCTTCCAGCAACTTCCAAGGGAAGCAGTCCCACTCCAGGAAGTACTGACACAAATTATGAAGTGAGATGGGCAGGGGGAATTCTGAGCTGCATGTCGAACCGGGAAACGTACCATAGGGAGGCGGCAGCAAGCTGTGGGAAAATACAGGAAATGAGAATCTGCTTCCCAAGCACCCTGAGTCATCTTGTTTAACGGGGAGATTGGTGTCAGCACTTGGAGCCGGGGGAATGTTGTGGGAGGGAATTAGCTTTGATTAGAAGCAGCTGGGAGCAGAGAGTGAATCCCCGAGGTCCTAGAATGAAGGACCTTGTGAAATGTAGTTCCATAAGCTCAACTTCACTGTTAAAGCTAAAACAATTGTTTATAGTATAAGACAAATTATAAGAGGGAAGAAAAATCCTAATCTATGCAAACTAATTAGCACCAAACCAGAGAGTAATGAAATCTGGGACTGACAGCCACGTGGGTGGGTTTGTTAGGTACCAATGATGCCAGGCAGGCTTAAAGGCTTGCTTCTTGAAAAGAAATGAGCACGTCTATACACACACACACAACACAATACACGGATGGTCAGAAGAAACACAGCAGATGTTATCTATTTGGACTCTAGGAAAGCGCTTGATGAAAATGTCCCATGAAATTTTACTTGCGAAACAAGTTCAAATTGGCTGGAATAGGAGAACTCCGATACAGCTTGAAACCTGCCTCCAAAACCATGAACCGAATGCAATGGAACTGATAAATAAATGGCAGCGGATCTAGCTGCAAGAAGGTGTTCAGCAGAATGCCCCTGGGGTAACTGTGAGAACGGAGTATATTAAAAATCTTTATCAATGAGTCAGAAGAACTAGTCACAGGATGCACGTGAATTCTTCCAGGAATACGAACTTGGCTGGTGTTAGAGGAAGCACAGATCAAGTCTTAGTGCAGAAGGATAAACAAAGAGGTTAGAAGTGTGCTCAAGAAGGAGCAAGGAAGGAAGGAAATGGGATCCACCTGGGAAAATAGTAGCCCGCTGATCTGTAGAAGATTAGGCTGTAGAAATGCAAAAGGAGAAAGATTCAGGAGGGAGAGGAAGGAACACATTCAGTAGGGCTTAGCCATGCTGTTCAGTGGCCAGCAAGGGAGAACTCAGGACTGTGGGGCCTGGAGTTTGTAGAATTTGGGGGGCCTTCCTTAAGCAAAAGATAAGTTATTAATTTAAAATTAGGTACAGGACCTTGAAAGAGACTGGAGGAAAGGAGGGACTGGAAAGATTAAGGTCACTGAGTTTCATGGTGAATCTGCCTAAGCTGGCTGAGCCTATCATGAATAAAATATTTTTTTCTTCCTGGTTTGAGTAAGAAGAGAGATTGGTATGTGTGAGTGTGTGTGTGTGTGTGTGGTTGAGGGGGCGGTGCTTGTGGGGGAACTAGGGACTGATGGTTCACTAGTTGGGTGCTATGGTCTAAATGTTTGTGTCTCCCCAAAATTCATATCTTGAAATCCTAATCCTTAAGGGAATGGTACTTGGAGGTGGGGCTTTTGGAAGGGGATTAGCTCCTGAGGGTGATGCCCTCATGCATGGGATTAGGGCCCTTATAAAGAGGCAGGTGGGAACTTGTTTGCCCCATCCACCTGTGAGATTACAGTGAGAAGATGTTTTTCCATGAAGGAGGTGTGCCCTTAGCAGATACCAAATCTGCCAGCACCTTGATCTTGGACTTTCAGCCTCTAGACTGAGATAACTAAGTTTCTGTCATTTATAAGTGCCCAAGCATACTAAGACATTGGCTAGCAACAGATACTTAAGGAATTTCAAATATGTGTCAAAATTATATTAGTCATTTTGTATACATTTATTATATATACAAATACATAATACATGTATGAATTTATTGCTTTAAAGGTGTTTAGAGTGGAGTAGGAAAACCAAATGGTTAAGCAGATATGTAAAATAAATACATATCTGTATTTAAGCATTTCCTAAGAAAAATCTGCGTTAGCATAGGAGGCCTGGGTAACAAATAGTATTTCCATTCGTATGTACAAGTGAATTCCCTCTGATGCAGAAGGCAAATCCGTAGGGTGTTCTGGAAAACCACACAGGAGGAGGTGGTTTAGAAATAAGTCCCAAATTTCCCATGGGATTCAGGTTGGAGATAGGGAGATATTTCAAATGGAAAAGGCAGGTACTAAAGCACCAGAGGTAGGAGAGGGAAGTTTTGTGCAGACACACCAAGGTGGAGTAATCTTACTATGGAATTACTTAGAACAAGAAGGGAGGAAGAAAGGGATGTGTTAGCAGGCGAATTAAGAATTTAGTATTGTAGAATGGATAAAGAAAATGTAATATATATATATATATATATACACACCATGGAATACTACTCAGCTATAAAAAGGAATGAAATAATGGCATTCACAGCAACCTGGATGGAGTTGGAGATCATTATTCTGTATAAATGAAGTAACTCAGGAATGGAAAACCAAACATCATATGTTCTCACTTATAAGTGGGAGCTGAGCTATGAGGATGGAAAGGCATAATGGACTCTGGGGACTTTGGGGGAACGGGGGCAGGAGGGTGAGGGATAAGACTACACATTGGGGGCTTGTACACTGCTTGGGTGATGGTTGCACCAAAATCTCAGAAATCGCTACTAAAGAACGTACCCATGTAACCAAACACTACCTGTTTCTCCCAAAACTATCGAAATAATAATAATAATGATAATAAAGAATTTAGCGTTGTAACAGGCGATTGGGGTAAAGATATGTGTGTGCGTTTAATGCTAGGTGTTTTAAAGAAAAGAAAAACCGTTTGAGCCTAGAGAATGTGGTTGCCATTGCCCCACCTCATGAGAAAGCACACAGGGAGCATGGAGAGAGTGGCAGAGTGGAAGGCTGAGTGCTCCCGTACTGGAAGCTGAGTGTTCTCGCTCCGTGCCTGGTGCTTCATTGAAAGTCCGGGTGATGTCTGTGAGGTGGGCAGGAAAGGAGAAGATTATAGGCAGAGAAACGTGTGGTGGAGGCTAGTGTAGGAGACAAGGTCGTGGCAGATGTTGATAGAGGACACTTGGATCAAAAAGCATGTGCTCAAAGATGCATTTCCTGGAGTACACTTTGTGGAAAACAACTCTGCTGGGGTTAGGAGGCAGGATCAGCACACAACTGTTTAGTTTAAACCATTTGCAGTTGCTATTTTTGCAGGTCAAAATGGTCAAATTTGACAATTTCATGTGGTTCAAAACAACTGGTAAAAATAGGTTGATATGGTTTGACTCTGTGTCTTCACCCAAATCTCATCTTGAATTGTAATCCCCATCTATGAAGGGAGGGACCTGTAATCCCCACATGTCAAAGAAGAGAGTTGATTGGATCATGGGGGCAGTTTCCCCATGCTGTTCTCATGACAGTGAGTGATTTCTCATGAGATCTGATGGTTCCGTAAGTGTTTGAAAGTCCCTCCTTTGCTTCACTCTCTCCTGCCGCCTTGTGAAGAAGGTGCCTGCTTTCCCTTTTGCCATGATTATAAGTTTCCTGAGGCCTCCCCAGCCAGTGGAACTGTGAGTCAATTAAGCCTCTTTTCCTTACAAATTACCCAGTGTTGAGTATTTCTTTATGGCAGTGTGAGAATGGACTAACACATAGGTCTTCTTGTAATAGCAAATGTGGGACCCTGCGTGTGACAAAAATAAAATCTTTTATTTTTCCTTTGAGCAAGTGTGAAATTTGGCCAAGGACATGGAAATAGAGCAAATGATCTTTCTCTGTCTTAGGTGGGAACTAGACTAAAGGAACAAATGGAAGGCAGAAGCCACAGAGCTTTCAGCGACAGGATCTCTACAGCTCTAGGCAATATCATAGGATCTTCTCCTAAATGCTGGAGGCGGCCACCTCCCTGTGGCCTGTGATCTGTTCTCCGACAAGGACAATATCCTGGGGAACAGCTAGGGAGCAGGCAAGTCCATTTGCTTGGTCCCACTCCAGTTCAAAAGAGCTTTAGCTTTGTTATCCATGACCATCAGTTCCTAACAGTGTCAGTCCCCCTCCCCAAAAAGCCTCAAGCTTAGAATTTCACTTTCAAGCCCTAAGCTAGTTGATATACCCCATGGCAACAGCAGTTGTTGGGAGGTGGGTGGTGATAGGTTAAAATAATTTTTAAGAGTTATTCCATGAAGGAAAATTTGGGTCAACTCTGGGTTAATGAGTTTTTTTTTTAATTTTTAAAAATTGTGGTAATAATACACATAACATAAAATGTACCATGTTAACCATCCTTAAGTGTACAGTTCAATGGCGTTAGCTACATTCACATTGCTGTGCAATCGTCACCATCATCCATCTGCAGCACTTTTGCATCATTCCAAACAGAAACTTTTTCCCCATTAAAAGAATAACTCCCTGTTCTCTCTTCCCCCAGTCCCTGGCAAGCTCCCTTCTACTTTCTGTCTATGAATTTGGCTATTCTATGGATCTCATACAATGGTGCTATAGTCATCCTTTTGGGACTGGCTGATTTTACTGAGCCTAATGTCCTCCAGGTTCTTCCACATTGTAGTATGTGTCAAAACGTCCTTCCTTTTTAAGGGGTTAATGAGTTTTTAATTTAGATTATTTCTTTTTAAGGAAAGAAGGAAGATCTGGCCAGGTGTGGTGGCTCGCACCTGTAATCCCAGCAGTTTGGGAGGCCGAGGTGGGTGGATCATTTGAGGTCAGGAGTTCGAAACCAGCCTGGCCAACATGGTGAAACCATGTCTCTACTAAAAACACAAAAATTAGCCAGGCATGGTGGTGCACCCCTGTAATCCCAGCTACTCAGGAGGCTGAGGCAAGAGAATCACTTGAATCTGGGAGGCAGAGGTCACAGTGAGCTGAGATCATGCCACTGTATTCCAGTCTGGGCAGCACAGTGAGACTGTATCTCAAATAAATAAAAAATAAATAAAAATAAGGAATTAGAATGTGCAGCATTTCTTTACTTATCTGACCAGGTAACCATTGATTTCCTGGAGTAGCTCAAAGCACAAAGCTCCATGAAACAAGGTATGGGAAATCCTGGTCCAAGCCTTCATTAAATGGATTCTCTCTGGCTCACCCACGAAGTGTGTGGCCTGGTGATTCAGTGTCCTGTGCGGTGCAGCATGCAAGTGTGGCTGTCTCTCTTTCTCAGGGCACTGCAGCATCACCTTATGACGTTAAAGGTACGCACAGAACTAAAATAAACCCCGGGGCCTTTGGCTGATGTAGCATATTCCCTCCAGTCTAGACAGCATCCTCAAGTCGTGTCTTCGCGTCTGGATGAAACCAGCCAGCCTGTGAATCTGCTTGCTGGTCTTCCCCACAATGAAGCTGGAAGAGATGCCTTCCCTCCATCATTTTATCAGTGATGCATACCAATGGACTACCTTGGAAGGCAGATAGGACCCGTGTCCCTACTGCCTTTACTCAATTGTCCACTCCTTGAGCTTCCAACCCGCTGTCTTTCTGCCTCCTGTCACTTTAGAAAGGATCTGAGGATTCTCCAGTTATGGATTTCTAGAGCATTCTGTCATTTATGGGGGAAATTTGGGTGGGATAATTGTTCTTGATGGCTTTTATTGTCTCTTCTTATTCAGTTTTTAATTTATTCCGGCAATATTTTTCAAGCACCTGCCATGGTTTATGCACTGTCCTAGGTGCTGGAGATTCATGATAAATGAGACAGTTAGATCCTTGAATGTATGGAGCTGGCAGAGTGGGTATGTTCCAGGATTTGCCCAAATCAGAGCTCATATCCCCCAGACAATACATTAATACACTAATATGACTCTTAGTTCAGAGCTCCAAGATGCAGAGACCAGTCAAAGGGATTCACGATCCCTTTATTCCTGAAAAAGTCCATTGCTAAGCAAGTTGTAGGTATTAGACAACTGACTTCAGCCCTCCACCATGTTTTGTGTGTATGTTTGTTTGTTTTGATTTTGCTTTGGTCCAAACAGTTCTGGACCTCAGAAGTGCCGTAGCTTGCTTGATGGTGGCATTGTTCTGCTGGGACCAGGTGGCGATTCTTCCAATGGGAGTTTTGCTCCATAGGGTTAGACTTATGGAAAAAAGTTGGAACACCCGGGGACACTCGGTCCTCTCTCCCTCACTTCATAGGCTGCTGTGTTGTCTCTCTAACAGAAACATTAACAACAACAAGGAGAAAGAAGCACGTTTTCTAAATAATGACAAACTTTTCGTAGGAGTAGGTTTGTGTGCTCTCTTCTCATGAGACAGATGGTGGCTTAACTCTGGGAAAGGGCACACATGTCTTGTACCAAGCTTAAAAATTAAGAAGTCTACTCTTCTCATTTAGCTCCCATGAGAAGGAGAGATCTGCACACATGGGGATCACTGGAGACCAGAGTGCCCTGTGGAGAGGGTTTCCCAAGAGTGGCCCCTGGCAGGGTGAATGCATAAATCAACATGCAATTATGAAAAATGTCATGAGTGATGAAGGGGGGAAGGGGAGAGGAGAAGATCTAGCCTGGACTAAAGGAGAGATCAGGAAGGACTTCTTAAGGAGAGGAACATTTGAACTTACTCCACGTAAAGCCACAGTCTCAGGGGCTTGAGGGAGATGAGTAAATGGCAAATTGATCCAAGCTTAGGACACAGCAGGTGCAGACGCTTGAGGGGAGGAGAAAAAGTGGCACTTTTGAGGAGGTGAACGTTGTTCCACATGCCTGCCTGGACTGTGGGCTTCCATGTTGGAAGAGGCAGCAGAGAGGGCTGAGAAGGAAAACAAGAACCTGAGAAATGAATGCTGAGAAGTGTTTATTGTATCCCAAGGACCACGGACCCCTGTGAAGGGTCTCAGCAGGGGAATAATCATAGTTGAATTGAGTATGATCAGTATCACCATGTGGCTGGATTACAGTCACATAAGAGGAATAGAGAGGTCCACATTGCAGATGGTGTTGTAACCCAGGTAAGAGATGGTAGTTGCTTAAGATGGGAGGAGAGACAGAAAAAGAGTGGATTCATTTGGGAAGTATTGAAAAGCAAGAAAAGATGGCCCTTGGTGCTCAATTACATGTGGGGGTAAAAGGCAGTTATTCCCAAGCTCAGCCTCGTACTTAAGTGGGAGGTGCTCATGTCTGGGAGAAGGCAATAGGGCCGTAGGTAGGTGAAACTATCTACATTTATCTCAACATCTTGGAGATAAGACAATTACAAGCATACTAGGACATTGCATTTTCTTTCACGTTCAAAGCTGTTGATTGCAACACTGTATCATCGAGAGGAATTAGGAGACTGAATGGACATCTGAGGGTATCTTGATGCAATGGACAGCAGTGCAACCTTTAAGTACACCTGCAATTAATGTATTACAAAGACATTCATAACATTGTAAAGTAAGATAGCAGGTTGTAGAACATGACAAAAGATATGACATAATTTTGGTTTGAAACTTAAGTAGATGTTTGATGACCATAAACAGACTCACATAAAACTACTAACAGTGGTTCCCTTTGGGTGATGGGATTAGGAGGTAGAGAAAAAAAAAGGGGAGCCAAAATAGGACATTCTATTTTGGGAGAGATGCCTAAACACACACATTAAATGGCTTTAGAAGGACTTTGAAAGACATTAAAATGCCCTATTCAGTAATGAGTTGCTAGTATCTTATGTTGCCAGTTTTCAAGTCATTGCTGTAGAGAAGCAGATGGAAATTCCATAGAAAAGGGCTAGGCAGAGAGGTGGTGAACCGAAGCAGGTCAAGCCCTAGCCAAGTTCCCGTCCAGATTCCAGAGAAGCCCTGTGGTCTGGGTGACTGTGCACATCTGTGTGACACACCCATGCAACACTGCTCTGAGTAGAGGGACTCTAGCCAGGTTTGACTCAGGATGCTGCTGACTTTGTTGAAGTCAAACTGTTGGCTGAAAACTGCCTGTGGCTACAGAAGAGGTGAGCAAGAAGAGACAGGAAAAAGACACATTTAGAAAGAGTCAGATCTGGGATTTAGGAGCTGGGAATTATTTAGGAGCTGGGAATTATTATTTCACGAAAGAACTTGGGTTGAAATCATCTCTGGATTGGCAGTGACTTTCAAAACTGCACAATCGACTTAGACATTTCAACAGAGCACACCTTCCTCGTGGGACTTCACTACCTCCTGTTTGCAGCTGAGCTAGAAACACCCAAAGAAATGCTTTTTCTTGCAACATTCTGTATAATTTTATTCTGTTTGGAATTTTCCATCATCTGTAAAGAAAATAAATAGCTTTCTGTGAGTAGTGGGCTCGGGGTAGTATAACTGTAATCAGCCTCAAACCTTTCAGGTTTTTCTGCCTGTCTTTTCATTCCAGTCGGAGGTCCTGGGTTATGAGCATGTCCTTTCTTTGTATATTGATCTTGGTCTGTAGCAACTGGCTGATAAACTCAAAAATCTTGTGTTTATCATCTGCCAGATTTTTTGTTGTGAGGTTTCAATTTCTTTCCCTTTACAAGCTGTTCAAATGTTCTAGCTATAGAGACCAGATGGTTTTTCTATTCCCTTGATGTTTCCTTTATGCGGATGATTGTTCAGAGATGTTCTAAGGCTGTATCAGGATAGGATAGTTTCTATAGTTACTCTAGTTAGCATCACTGTGTGTATGCCTTTGCCAGCACGGGCGAATATTCAATCCATCAAAGTCCGGAAACCACTTCAAATAAATGGCCCTGTGTGTTTTGAAATCGGGTGTGGAAAGCCCAGGTTTCAAGTAACCATTAATAAATAATTACCCTTTTGTTAATGTATCCTGCCAATTCCCTGATAAGAAAGAGCTGATGGATGATGTAGCTGGTTCATAGCTTCCTGTTTATTAGAATGTGTTCGTCTTGTACTTTCTGCAGATGGAAGCTTTCGGGACCACATGAGAAGTGTACTATGTCCACACCACATTTAGTACTTGGTGGGTAATCAAAATTATATAGGGGCAAGGCTTTTCTCCATAAGCTTTAGCCCGGAGCTTAGCCTGTAGATGCTCATTGAACATGTGCTTGCTGTGGAAATCCCTGACTGGTGATGCGGGAGATGGCTTTGGATGCAGGTGATTGACAGAGGACAACAGCAGCAGAAGGGGTGGAATCACCTCATGATCCTGACCTTGTGTATGGCCTGAGATAGCTTGGGGTTCCAGATATAGATAGTGTTCAGTAGTCAGTCAGCAAAGAATATTTCAACAAGCTTGGAGAACGGTACTTAGCTCATACTGACCACTTGCCCTGTGGCCGAAAGCCACCAGGTACACACCTGTAGTTGAACAAGTTGGGTTTATTACAAGTTGCAGTGAGACAGCACACACAGCTTGGGAACTGCAGGAAGTCTCAGAGTAAGAAGATGTTGGGAATGACCTACTACCAGGCTTGGGCTTTGGTTGGGTGATTTTCGGGAGGGTCTAAGGAAGCAGAGGTTTTCTCTAGTCGGGAGTTGCCAGAGGCCAGGGGTGATTCTGTGAGGGGGTATCTGAATACATCTGTCATCTCTAGGGAGGACAGACTAGAGGGAGACCAAAGCTGGAACTGGGAAAGATGCAGCAGTTGCTTACTTAGCAAGAGTGGAAGATGTGTGGGATTTAGCATGATCTGGCCTGAGTGGACATTCTCGGAAATTATTTCTGTCCAACTGGAGAGCACGTGGCTTAGCTGGAAGCATCAGGCCAGCTCATGATAACACGGAGGCCGTGATGTGAGGTCCTATTTGCTCCCTGGCATGGGCAGAAGTTTGTTTTCTTTCTCTGATGTCACTGATGCAGTCCAGAAAGGCGCTAGAGACCTTGCTCCTGATTCCACTGCCTTGCCCTTTGCCTCGTCTCTCTCTGCCTTAAGAAGCATCTTACCAGCTGGGCACGGTGGCTCACGCCTGTAATCCCAGCACTTTGGGAGGCTGAGGTGGGCGGATCACCTGAGGTCAGGAGTTTGTGACCACCCTGGCCAACATGAAGAAACGTCGTCTCTACTAAAAATACAAAAATTAGTCAGGTCTGGTGGTGCATGCTTGTAGTTCCAGCTACTCAGGAGAGGCTGAGGCAGGAGAATTGCTTGAACCCAGAAGGGAGAGGTTGCAGTGAGCTGAGATCATGCCACTGCACTCTAGCCTAGGCAACAGAACGAGATTCTGTTTCAACAAACAAACAAACAAACAAAAAAACAAGTCTTACCTGAGGCTGATGAATACGGAGAGCCCTGTGAGCCTCACCTTCTCTTCAGACAAGGATGGATGGGACCTCAAGGTCCATCAAGGTCAGACGTTGACGGTGCCTCTCCTCTCTGCATGCTGAGAGAGTGACCTGCCCGGGACTCTGTCCGTTTTCTGAAAATTTTATTTCTAATTCATAAATAATAATTGCATATATTATATACATGATGTTTTGATATATGTGTATATTTTGGAATGATTAAATCCCACTAATTAACATATCCAGAAACTCACATGCTTTTGTTTTATGGTACAAACATTTAAAATCTACCCTTTTAGCAATTTTGAAATGTACATTACATTATCATTAACTATGGTCACCACGATATGCCATAGAGCTCAAAAACTTACTCCTTTTAACAAAAACTCTGCACACTTTGACCAACATCTCTTTATCTCCATCTCTTCCCCACAGCCTCTGGCACCCACCTGAGTCCTTCTGAATTGGACTTTTTTAGATTCCACATGTTGGTGAGACCCTGTGGTATTTGTCTTTCTGTGCCAGCTTGCTTTACTTAGCACAACATCCTCTAGGCCCATCCATGTTGTTGCAAATGACAGGATTTAGGACTCTATCCTTTGTTGAAAAATGAAAACATGGCTCTCCTCTAGTCCAGGCTAAAAAACAACCTATTTTTTACATGAGTTAGAATTTGAAAGGTGTTAAGATTTTGCCAGGTAGGTGGATATGTTTGAAAAGCACTTCTCACTTAGACCAGTTTGTAAGGATAAAAACTGTATTTTCCTTACAGCCACCCCCTCTAGATATCTTAAACTATAAGAGGCCCAGCGGAGTCACAGAGCAGTTAATTCTAAACACACGTGAGCTCCGAAGATTAGGACATTTGAAAAATTTTTGAATGGGAATGTATTCATTTAAGAAGTTTAAAGTACATAACGCATGAAAGACTTTTTAAAGGCAGCATAAATATCTGCACATAGAGCCCATAATAGACATTCAGCAAAAGTGTGTTCATTGATTAAATTATTCAAAGTATTTTCTTCATTTGGATCAACTAGCAGAAAGGAGTGGCTCAATTTTTATAAATTCTTTTATCTGATTATAGAAGTAATACATCCTCAAAGTAAGAACAACAACAAAAAACTTAGACGAAGAAAAAGCAAAGAGAAGAAAATAAAAATCACCACCCAGAGACAGCGCTGTTAATGGTTTGGGTCCTTCATTCATTCAACAAATACTTGGCAATTACCATGCAGTAAATATGGTGCTCATTGCTGGGAAGTAGAGATTGACAAGATACAATCCATGACCTCAAGGGTTGCATAGGATCATGAGCAAAGCAGGTGAGATAAGTAGATAATTGAACTACAGGTCAGTAAATGCAATGGCAGGTGTTCGTGCAGGGCATTAGGGGAAGAGAGAGACCGGCTGATGCAGTGTGGGGTGAGATGGGCAGGGTGGAAAGGGAGGCTGCTTCCCGGGGAAACTTCTTGTTGAGAACTTAGAGAATAGAGGTGCCAAGGAGGAAAGAAGAGTCTGTCATCCCACCCCCCAGGGGTACCAGATGCAGATGTTTCATGGCTGCTCCGATTTCCTCGCACGGACATAGAGTAATTTGTTCTGAGAAGTTTAATGATTCTCTTTATTGATCAGAAGTAGGCGTTTCTGAGTAGTACAATTGCTATGACCTGGAGTCCTCACATTAAGCAGGTGCAGGTTAAGATGTACACAAGTAATGACTTCATGTCAAGCTACTCAGGTGGAATTGTAGGCATGCTGATATTATAACTAAGGGGTCTGTGATTCGGAAGGTGTTATTTTGTCTAGGAAAAGGGTATGTAGGGCTGCTCGAGAGAGAGGGAAGGGGGAAATAGTATGTACATGGTCACATGCTTACGCATGTTCACACACTCACAACCCAGAATTTAGAAGAATAATGTTCTCTGGCTCAGTGGATGGCTCATGCCTGTAATCCCAGCACTCTGAGAAGCCAAGACAGGCAGATCACCTGAGGTCAGGAGTTTGAGACCAGGCTGGCCAACATGGTGAAACCTCATCTCTACTAAAAATACAAAATTAGCCAGGCATGGTGGCGAGTGCCTGTGGTCCCAGCTACGTGGAAGGCTGGGGCAGGAGAATCACTTGAACCCGGGAGGCAGAGGTTACAGTGAGCCGAGATCACACCATTGCACTCCAGCCTGGGCAACAAGAGCAAAACTCTGTCTCAAAACAAAACAAAACAAAAAAGAAGAATAACGTTCTCTGATTCCTCCCTGCCCTTCCACTCATCTCCCTTCAGTTCCCACTCTAATTTAGCCTTTATGATTGCCACTGTCCATCAAGATTCTTCAAGGGACCAGTTCACAGCAAACACCCTTCAGGCAGGTATTATCAAGCTCCGTCTGTGAAGGCGAGGCGGAAGAGGCCACACTAGCGAGAAAGTGATTATGAGAAACATGCAGAAAACAAGAGCACATCCTCATAGTCACATAGAAAATGAGGTGAGGGGAAGAAATCTTCATGAAACCGTCTCAAGGTATATTTAAACGTGGCTCCCTGCAGGCCACCCATTCTTTGTCCCAGTTAATTCATATACGAGAGAGGTTTTACTTCAGAGAGATTGCCAATGGAAAAAATGTGAACGAAACACCCGCATGGATGGCCCACGGTGAGGCGTCTCTGATCGCTATCAAACAGGGAGGGGCAGAAATCCTTGCACTAAAAAGTGTGGGCTGCTTTACCACAAATAAGATCAGGGACTGGGCATGAGGCAGTATTGGTCACAGCCCCGTTGGTGCTGGAGAGAGGTTCGCTGGCCTTGGGAGCTTCACTCATGACCGGTGAGCTGTGTGCCCAGAGACGACGCCGAGGTCCTCATGTCTTATTTCCGCAGCATCCAGTTGTGAGTACTGGGAACTTCCAAAGACAGGGAAAAATAAGCCAGAGGGGGCCTGAGAGAGGAAGGAGAGAGAATAGCTGCAGGGCAGCCAGGGCACAGGGAGGGAGCAGGCTGTCCCCTGAGCCAGCTGTCTAGAGGAGGGCACAGTGGTCAGCATGCCGCAGAGGCTCTGCCCTGGCCAGGGGAGGGCAGGGGTCACCTGCTTGCCATGTGTGTGGCTCCTGAGGCAGCAGCAGAAGCAGCAGGAAATTCCAGGGACCACCTTAGACCTATTAAATCAGACCCTCTGGGGGTGGGGCAAGGAACCTGGAATCTGGGTTTTAATTTTTTAAAAAGTTTTGTTAAAATAATTTCAACTTTTATTTCAGATTCAGAGGGCGTGTGTGCAGGTTTGTTACTTGGTTGTATTGCATGATGCTGAGGTTTGGGGTCCAGGTTAGCCCGTCACCCAGGATGGGTCAGCATTTCCACCTTTGCCCCCTCACTCCCCACTCTAATAACCTGCAGTGTCTATTGTTTCCATGTTTATGTCCACGTGTGCTCCGTGTTTAGCTCCCACCTATAAGTGAGACCATGCGGTATTTGTTTTCTGTTCCTGCATTAATTCACTTAGAATAATGGCTTCCGGCTGCATCCATGTTGCTGCAAAGGACATGATCTCATTCTTTTTTGTGGCTCCATAGTATTCTATGGTGTCTATGTACCACGTTTTCTTTATCCAGTCCACCAATGATGGGCATTTAGGTTGATTCCCTATTTTTGCTGTTGGGAGCAGTGCTGTGATGAACATCTGCATACATGTGTTTTCTGGTAGCATGGTTTATTTTCCTGTGGATATATACCTAGTAATTGCATTGCTCAGTTGAATGATAGCCCTGTTTTCAGAGCTTTGAGAGATCTCCAAACTGCTTTCCACAGTGGCTGAGCTAATCGACATTCCCACCAATAAGGTATAAGTATTTTCTCTTCCCTGCTGCCTAGCCAGCATTTGACAGTTTTGACTTTTAGTAATAGCCATTCCGACCGATCTCAGATGGTGCCTCATTAAACACTCAAGGAATCTGGATGCTGTCTACAGTTTGAGAACCCCTGTCCTTCCACACTCCTGATCTCCCCTCGCTTCCTGCTCCCAGTGATTGTTGGGCTTACCCGATAATCCAGAGCCCCGGAAATCCCGAGTTGGTGAGGAAGGCACGAGTCCGGGCGAGTGGCATTTTTAGAAGCTCCTGGGTGACTCTATGATCCTTCAGGATGAGGACCCACTGGATGGAAGGGGAAGGGTTTGAAGAATTCCACAAAAGACCACCCCCCACCTTGCTTCTGGCTTATCTGAAATTGTATCGCTGTGACTTATCCCAAGGAGTTAACCATTTGCCTGTTCTTGCCATCGTTTATTAACATGTAAAGTCATTTCCATCTGATGGATGATTGATCTGTTTGCTCAATCATTAGGTCCATTAATAATTATCACATGTTCAGCTAATGTGACCTGAGAAGTGGGGAAGGGAGGTGCACGGCACCACCATCTTCTCCCTTTGGCAGGCGGCAGTCTCCCAACTATAGAAAACTCACACCAGAGTAAGAGAACCCATCTCCAAAGGTGTCCAACAGAAGTGTTGGACAATGGCTGTACATACGCACACTAACTGGAAAAGAAAGCGAGCCAGGAGAGGCACCGAGTCACACAAGCATGGATCTTGTCTCAATGCTCCAGCGAGGCAGATGCTGGCTCCAGGGGGAGTGGGTGGCTGGCAACTTCCCTAGGGCTTTCTGCATTTTATTGATGAGCAGTGAGAGGCATGAAGGCTAAGCAGCTTTCCCTGGGTCATACAGTGAAGAAGTAGCAGAGCTAGTGTCCCTAACCACCGGGCAATGCTGCCACCTGCCCTATGTTGCAGGTGAGGGGCTTAATGAAGGGGGCAACATGGTGAACTCACTGGTTCATTTCTAATCCTTTTTGCAGCTGTCTTAGCCAGTTGCAGGCTGCAGGCTTACCTCTGTAGAGTGACAGACCAAGTCCACCCTGGGTACCACCATTGCCACACTATCCTGGAACCTCCCCTGAAGGACTGGAAACACAGGGCCATGTCTTGAGACCTAGATAGGAGAAGCACAGCTCTCGTCTAGCAGCTTAGGAGTCACGGGAGGGAGCAGCACCTTGCAGTTCTTGTCGCTGCACCCTAGAGGGGAAGAGGGAAATCTTGTCATTGTCAGCTTGTCCTTCCAGACAAAAGTCACCCCATTAAATTTCCATATCCTACATAGTTAGTAAAGAACATTTACACCTGTATTCCCAGCTACACAGGAGGCTGAGGCAGGGGGCATCGCTTGACCCCAGGAGTTTGAGGCTGCAGTGAGTTATAATTGTACCACTGCACTCCAGCCTGGGCGACAGAGAGAGACCGTGCCTCAAAAAAAAAAAAAAAAAAAAAAAGGAACATCCACAACACTGAACTGACCACCTGTTGAGCTGTAAACTCTAAAATAGCAGAAAGCATTGACTCCACCATGCTTGGCTCACAATATCTCTCATATACTAGGAAAATGAGGCTGAGAGTTAAGGAAATTGGTCAAGGTTGCAGGCAGTGAGTGACAGCTGGGATTCATGAAGACTGTCTTTAAGTGTCACCGCCAACCACTCAGTTATTTTTGTCTCTCAGTATTAATTAATATACTTGAGAATGAATTTATGAAGCTCCCAGAAATGTCAGCTCACAGGCAGAATTCCAGGGCGATGATGCAGAGGCTAAGAACAGAGGAGTCATGTTACCCATTGGCTCTGATTCTTCACCCTACCTGCCCACACCCTTTGCCCAGTGACTTTGCAGTTCCTCCCCTGTGGGGGAAGTGAATTTCCTCCCTCCGTCTCCTTGACTCTGGGTGGGCTGTGTGACTTTTCCTTGCTCAATAGAATGAGAAGGAGGTGGCGCACCGGCTACAAGGCTAGACCGGGGGCTCGCATATCTCCACTTGCAGCTGCCACTGCCATTAGAAGAACTTGCTCAGCCAGCTCCTGGGCCCCAGGAAAAGGACAAGTGTCACCCAGAACAGAGCCACCTCCAGCTGCACTCAGCTCCAGAAGCTGGCCCAGCCGGTCCAGTACACGTGAGAATAAATTGTTGTTGCTTTTACCCATTAGGTTTTGGGGTGATTTGTGATGTTGCATTGTTGCAGCAATAACAAATAAATATAAACAGTGTTTGAGCTGTGGGCTCCAATGGACTTTTGTCACTTATTAGCTCTGGCCATTATTTCAACTTTCTAAATCACAATATCTGTCACAAAGACAGCAAAATAAAAATACCTAAAGTAATATTTTAGAAGGTGCATGCATTTCTGTGTGCTAATTAAATGAGATAATGCTGGTAAGGGCGTTCTGCAGCACCTGGCGCCAGTTGTATTACATTAGCCCTTGTGTGGTGGCCCTGTGCCTGGGAAGGGATTCTGCAGGCAGAGGCCTCTGCATCGGGTGCTGACCACAGCCCTGTGCCCACCAGCTGGTTCCGTAGTTTTCAGATTTTACAGGTTAAACGTGCTGAAAGCAGCACGGGCATACTTGTTCAGCTGAATTAGCTTCCACATGCTGAACATGCCCAGCCTGAGAGAATGATCTGGGCTGTGTGTGTGTGCATGGTCACGTGTGCACAGCAATGTGAGTGTTTATTCTTACTGGAATGTGAGCAAAGATGGGGAATATTTCTGCTTCTTGAAAATTCTGCATAAAACCTTCATCTGTGTTTCTGTTATTGCATAAAGTTGGGCACTCCATTTCTTGGAGTCAACGTTTAAAAGAAAAGACTAATAGCAGGAAATGCTGGTCTGTCTTCCTCCAGCTTTTAAATAATGTCCTCTACGTGCCGGTGTGGAAGTAGCCCGGATGCAATTGAATGAACAACAGACGGTGCTTTCCAGGACGGCGCTGTGCTTTCCAGGATGGTGCTGTGCTTTCATTCATTTGGGTAGCTCCTCTGTGAGCCTCCCAGCGCCGACTGCAGAGCCCCCACTCTCCAGCCTGCAAGACCCCGAAATTCAAGCCACACAAAGAAAGGAGGAGGGGGCCGTTGGCATTTACTGAACCTTATAAAACTGTCAGCAAAACAGCCCTTAGGCTTGGACTCCCTGCTAGCCGGGTTTTACGGTGCTGAAGTCAGCATCTTGATTCAGCTGCATAAATAATCTCCTGCAGTCCTGCAAGGCCTGGGGTAGGAGAGGGTATGGGGACCAGGGCACTCTGTAAGGGCTGGGATAGGAACCCCAGGGAATAAGACAGACCAACTGCGGGACTTCAGACTCCACTGCAGCCGGGATCGGGTTGTTGTTAATTTCTTAAGCAATTTCTAAATTCTGTATTGACTCTCTCATGCATGTAACTGATCCTTAGATATTGTCAGCCAAATGACTAAAGGATTTAGAAATCTGATTGACTTTTGGAAATCTGATTGACTGGCACACTCTCTCTGCCTCTTTCTTTCTCAACATTTTATTTCTAACTATAGTTTCTTCTGTTTTTTTTAGTTACCCTAAGCAGATCAGACATCTCACTTTCAAAAAATACCTTTCAAAACATACCTTTAAAAAATGACTTGCAAAAAAATACCTCACCTCCTCTTATTTTGGCAGTAGTGAGAGTAGTAGCCCCAATGCCAACCAGCATCTCGTCCCTGCCTCTACACCGTGCCCTGGCTGGGAAAAGTTCCATCCCACACATGAGCTGTGGGGTCTGGGCCAGGAGGAGCCATTGCTCTCGCTTATGAAGAAGATAGAGCTGGATCAGTGAATGGTACCAGAGGCACACACCTCAGACCCCGCTCCAGTTCAGGTTCTGTTGCTCAGATCTATCATTTTCTATTTATTCTGTGCGACGGCCCCAAGTTTAGCAATCTAAAGCTTGCATAGCCGGGCTCGGTGGCTCAACGCCTGTAATCCCAGCAACTTGGGAGGCCAAGGCGGGCAGATCACCTGAAGTCAGGAGTTTGAGACCAGCCTGGCCAACTTGATGAAACCCCATCTCTACTAAAAAATACAAAAATTAGCCGGTCATGGTGGTGGGTACTTGTAATCTCAGCTACTTGGGAGGCTGGAGAATCACTTGAACCCAGAGGCGGAGGTTGCAGTGACCGGCGATTACGCCATTGCACTCCAGCCTGGGTGACAAGAGCGAAACTCCATCTCAAATAAATAAATGCATAAATAAATAAATAAATAAATAAATAAATAAATAAAGCCAGCCAGCTTGCATAAAGAAAGTCACAGTTATAACTACATAAAGTAACAGGTCAGCATGCAGGGGTCCAAGATGCATTCTTGTTGCCGATAGAGTTGGTTCACACAGCTGCATGGAGGGTGCCCAGGAGGGGACGGTGGCTGCACCTCAATCCAGCTCCCTTCAATGGCACTGAGCCTTAGGAATGCAGTGTGGAACATGTAAGAAGTTTCTGCAGGTGGAGACATGTTGTCTCTGGAATTAATTCAGACGAATGCTCTGTGACTTATTTGTTCCGACTGGGCCTTGCCATGGCCTCTGGGCCTTTGGTCTCCAATGTTTACTTAACTTCCTGCCTTAAGCTCATGGCAGCCTTGACCCTACGTGGGACATGATTTCTAATGTTTTCTCCCTATCCTTTCAAGGGTAATCGGGATAAAAGGAGAACACCTGTGCCATTTAGACCCAGTAATCTCGGGGCGGGAGTGGTTACTTGGGGCAGTGGCGGGGGCCAGTCAGACACCAGGAAGGAAGGACAAGAAAAAAAAAACCTGTGACACATGCATAGAAATTACTCAGGGATCCTTCAAAGCAACACAGAAATACATATAAAGTAATCCTCTTTAAAAAGAATCGTAACCCTGGTTCTAAACTGAAGACTTATTCTGAAATATTCTGATGTCATAGTCTCAAAAACTGAAACTCTTGTAATTGGAAAATGTAATTATCTAGAGCTTTTGTGGCTTCTGTACATATCTCTCTGTTGCTAAACAGAGAATAATATAATTAATAAATGGTAAAAGGAATTTTTTTAATTTTACTTTTTTCTATTATGAATTTCCACTTCTAATGATAGTGCATTGTCAAGTCAGGAGGATAAGGGTATCTTTGAGTCACGAAACTCAACATCAATTAAAAAGAATTTATTTCTTAATCTTCTCTGAAGTCAGGAGGTTCTATTTAGTGAAGTTCATGTCCTATCACATTTCAAAGAAATAAGTCTTACATGTGGAAAATATTCAAGCATATATGTATATATTCAGCTTTGAACTCCCAAAGAGCTGGCTGGAAATTATATTAGTAGTAACTCCCAGCTGGGAGTCACTGGTAAGCTGGCTTCCAATTATTTAACACAATCGGATAAAATGCACAGTCCTACCTGCCCTAGCTTTGCTTGATGTGGTGCAAATAAAGTCTAGTTTCAAACTAACATATCACCATAGGAAATTGGCTTGTGGTTCTACTGATTGCTCAGAAAAAAAAATTCTCTGAAACTTGCTTGATTAAAAATTCTGTCTCTGGAAATTGACTCCTGCATTAACTGAATTCACTTTAGGGATTGGTTGAAAGGTAGAAGTCTTCAGATTATTTATTAGAATACACTTTTGCAAAATAACACCGAATTGTTTTTGTTTTTCTGGTAGAATTCCAAGCTCAAAAACCTTTTAAAACACCCTGTGTTCAGGCAAGATAAAAAAAAAAGTGTTCTGATTGATCAACTTTTTTTGTGCTGTAGTTTCTGTAATCATAAATCTTATGTTTTGGATAATATCTGGGTACAGAGATTGAATCAGTGATGTATATTAATGGCAAGTAGGAGGATGGAGAAAGTATTTCAGATAATAATCCTGCTTTCCAGTGTGAAATCTACATAGCATTCTACTTCAGGCTAACCTGTGCTTTAAAATTGTGGTTTCACTGGAAGTGTACATATGAAACAAATCAGGAAAACTAATGTCTCTGACTATGTATAGTTTACTCGGCTTCTGTGAGCAACAAGTTCATGTGTACTGCACCAGTTCCAGGACAGTCCTGGTTTTCACATCCTGACAGTTTTATTTTATTGAGCCTGTAGCCCTAAGACAAGGCACAGGATTCATATAAATTTCAGGAAGTATCTCCAAAACATACTGTTTTTATCTGCCTTTCAAATGTTTTGGAGTTAGGCCATGTTGTGCAATTACATTTCTAAAAAATTCACAAGCTTTTTCTGCAGTTTCGTAGTCTAAATATTTTTTTTCACCAAATGTATCTTGCATGCAATACACTTGTTCCCGTTTTAAAATACCATCCTTCAGAAAGCACACATGGCCAGCCAGTCAATTGCACTCTCTAATGTAAATCTTTTGCTTGTGCCAGAGACCAGAGATTCTCTGATTGTTCACTGAAAGCCACATGCACTGAACGGTGTTTGGCAACAGCTAACTTAGGCACAGGCAAACCGTCAGCCTGATAAGGCTGACATTTCCTGAGTGCCTCTGTGTGTCACCTATACGTTATATATTTTCACATATTTGTTTAATTTGGCTTTCGCAACAACTCCAGTAAAAAAGGTATACTTCCACTTTAAGGACGAAGCAATTGGATCTGAAGTTAGTAACTTGTTCATGATCACACAGGTAATAAGAGACACAGTTGGGACCAAGCCTTGGTCTTCAGCCTCAAGTCCATTGGACCACAGTCACCACCTGAAAATGAAGGCTTACGCAGGGAATATTCCTATATGAATCTTTTTGTTTTGTTTTGTTTTGTTTTGAGACAGAGTCTCACTCTATCACCCAGGCTGGAGTGCAGTGGTGTGATCATAGCTCACTGTAGCCTCCAGCTTCTGGGCTCAAGCAATCCTCCTGCCTCAGCCTCCCAAATAGCTGGAACTACAGGTACATGCCACTATGCCTGACTAATATTTTTATTTTTTGTAGAGATGGGGTCTTTCCATGTTGTCCAGGCTCGTCTGGAACTCTTAGCCGCAAGTGATCCTCCCACCTCAGTATCTCAAAGTCTTACTGGTGACAGAGATCCAAGTTACCCTGAGTTACTGGCGGCCTATCCCTACAGGTCCGTAGCAACTTCAGTCCTCGCCTCTTCAGAAGAAAGAATTTGTCTGAGGGGCATAAAGCGGAAAAAGGGGCCAAGGCAAGTTTCAGAGCAGGAGTGGAAGTTTATTTTAAAAGGCTTTAGAACAGGAAAGAACAGAAAATTGGCTTGGAAGAGACCCAAATGGGCGCCTGAAGGTCCAAGAGAGAAAAGATGATTTCCCATGATTCTTCCCTTAGGCTGGGCTTCCCGTATGCATAGCGCTTTCCTTACCCCTAGGAACTAAGCATGTGCAGTGTGTTTAGGAAACTGTACCCATGCCCATGTGATGCTTTCTTCTTTTTTTCTGGTGGAGTGTGCTCCCAGAAATCATACCTCACCAATTTTTGTCTCTTAATGTGCATGCCAAGGAGTTGCTTCTCCCTGGGGTCTGCATTCAATTAATATTTTGATGTTAACAGGTGTGGACCATCAGGAAATGGCTTCTCCCTGGTGCTGCTGAATTGTCCTTTTTAGAGAGTGTGAGAAAGAAGCTCACTCATCCAAACCCAAAGAATGGACTCAGAGACCTGGAGAACAGCGAAAGGGAGACTTTTAATGATGGTCTTGCAAGATTGGGTGTCTGATAGGCAGGCACACCCAGCACAGTTTCAACAAGCAATTTATTCCCTAGTACACAGGTCCCTCCTCAGGTTCCTCATAGGCTGAGTACTGTGGGGTCACAGTCTTCCCGGACATTGCCATTGATTGCTGAGTAGGAGCTTCAGGTGATTTTTTTTTTTTTAGGGTTGTCTTGTTGTGTTTTGTTGCAGCCCACAATGCATTGCAATCCTAGTCAGCTCAGGGGTTCTTCAAGTATTTGACTGATGACCTAAGTAGCTGGGCAGGCTGATAAGAACAAACAAAACAAGCTATTTTGTAAGGTAGTCAACTTTCATCTTAGACTAAACTTCCTTGTTTTGGGTGAGGGCAACTAGGAGCGGGGGAAGGCAGGGAAGCAGGGGAGGCTGACAAGCAAGCATTGGCTATTCAAGCAGGGCAAGCAGGGGCCTAGTACATCCTGTCTCTTATGTAGTTTGCTGACCTAAGCCAATTCAAGGCACTTTATCTTGGAAATGGACCTCTGTATACATGATTTCCTTCAGAGAGACAATGTGATAATTGCTAAACCACCAACCGACATTCCTAGTGGGTAGGGGGAGAGCCTGCCCCACTCATGCCTATCTACCCATAACAAGGGTGCTGGGATTATAGCTGTGAGTCTTTACACCTGGCGCTTATGTGAATCTTGGTGCCAAGAAACACGAATGAGACCTCAGCACAGGTTTTCAGCAGGCTCTCCCAGTTCCACCTTTTCTCCAGACTACGTTGATATTGACACTCGCTTAGAGGCCATGCCTCTCATTTAAGCTGTTCCTGTTTGCTTTCCATTACATACAATTGAAGATGCTTTGGCTGATATAATAATATACTCTCCAGCTCTCATTTGCCTCATTTAGATTTGTCTCATTTAGATTATTGACTACATTCTTTTGTCTTCGGTTTCTTCATTCCTCCTCCATTTCCTTCAGTTTGCTTCTAATACTTGGATTTCTCATCACTTCTCAGTCTTTTGGCTAACGTCAAGTGGAGTATAGCCAGACTTCTCTCTTTTCTTCATCTGTTCCTTCCTGTGAATACTTTTCTTCTCCCTAGACTTGCTCCATGTTTTCTAGGTTTTTTCATATCAACCTCCTGCCTCCACCCCACACCCTGTGGAATGATGGGCATTCTCTGATAAAAAAATAAAAACACTTATGAAAACAGGGAATTATAATCTTCCTTAACATCCGAGCACTCGGCTTGATCTTGGGTCTTCTTATGGCTGATTGCTCTTCCTGACTGCGATTTTAAAAACATTTTGGTAATGAATTTTCCGGTTGGTTAGATTACAGATTAATAGCAGTTTATGCTAAAATTTCAATTTTCTAAGTGGAAAATGAGGTACCGATGGGATAAGAATCCTCTCTGAGTTTGTACAAATCATCAGTATTGGCAGATAAAATAAAATTTCAGGCGTTGTATTATCTCAACTGAATTACCATTCCTAATGGTTCCTAACCTTTGGAGAGAAAGCACTTTGTGTATTATCTGAGAACATGTGTAAGGCAGGGAAGAAATCCCATGCAATTCCAAGGTGGGGGTGGGTGTCGGGGTGGTGATGCTGGTAGAAAATGTTCTGACCAGTGGACTGCAAGGGGTGGTTGGTAATCCCTCCTATAAATCCCAGCAGACTCAAGGCAAGGTCCAGGTAGGGAGAGGCTGCATGTACAGTAGAGGCTGTCCTTTAGAGATCTGGGTCAGGCTTTGGGGCACTGACAGACGCCTATGTAATGGTTAACCCCCCATTCCAGGATATGTCACTTAGCTCAATATTTTGCATACCTGTGTGAACTAAAGACTAGGCCCAAAGCACAAGTGGTATAACAATAGTGTTCAATGATTCAACAAATTCTTTGGAGAACTCAACAAGTTATGAGTTATGCTATACAGAGCTTATGGTCTACAGGATAGACAGACATTGTTTTAGACAGAAATAATTGTCTTCAAAAACAGGGGGAGGCAGTGTAATATGGAGGTTCCTGGGTTCAGATTGTAGCTCCACCCCTCACTAGCAATATGTCCTGAAGCAAGTTCCTCAACATCCTGAGCTTCAGTTTTCCCATCTTTAAAATGGGTTTGACACTAGTCCCTCCAGGTAGAGCTGTCTGGTCACAGAATGAAATCCTACACAGATAGCAACATCTGGCTTAGCATAGCCTCAGTGAATGTTCACTCCTGTGAGTAAGGGATTGTCTGTAAATGGTAATACCCTGATCAATACATATTTGCTTCTCTCCTTTTGCTCTTAGTCATTTGAATTTTGCCCAATATAGTCTATCACTAGTACCCAAGAGGAAGAGAGATTGACTGATTAAACTATTTTTCTGGGTAACACATTGGTAGAGCTGATCAGGAAAGAATAGTTTACACATAGACAGTAATTTATTTCTAGTTACATAGACTGCATTAGTCGTTTACAGCCTTTGCTTCTCATTTAACTCATCTTGGAACAGAATGCCGTGGGCTTCAGATGGCTCTGGGAAAGTTTTGCGGGGAGTTGAACACTGGGTTAGAAG
Source organism: Homo sapiens (assembly GCF_000001405.40). Classification (NCBI taxonomy): domain Eukaryota; kingdom Metazoa; phylum Chordata; class Mammalia; order Primates; family Hominidae; genus Homo; species Homo sapiens. Next base: position 6,745,702 of record NC_000010.11, read on the forward strand.
GGCATGTTAGCGGGTGCCTGTAATCCCAGCTACTCGGGAGGCTGAGGCAGGAGAATCACTTGAACCTGGGAGGTGGAGGTTGCGGTGAGCTGAGATCGTGCCACTGCACTCCAGCCTGGGTGAAAGAGAGAGACTCCATCAAAAAAAAAAAAAAAAAAAGTTCAAAAGGAAAGATGAGTCTGAAATATTTCTTTGTGATCAAATCTGTGTCCATATGCACCCATCCCTTACTTGCAGATACTCTCTGTTGGTTCCTCACCTTAAGATCAACCAGAAGTCTCGGGGGCAACACATTCTTCTTGGGAAGGGAGGAGGAGTAATAAATCCTTACTGTATGCCAGGCAGTTTCTTTTTTTCTTTTACTGTAGTGAAATGTACATCCATACAATTGACCATTTTAGCCTTTTTAAGTGTACAATTCAGTGATATTAAGAACATTCACATTGTTATGCAACATCACCACCATCCATTTGCACAACTTTTGCATCATTCCAAACTGAAACTCTGTCCCCATGAAGCACTGACTCCTCCCCTTCCCTCTACCCCAGCCCCTGGCTACCACCGTTTGATATTCTGTTTCTATGAATTTGACTACACTAGGACCCTAATACAGGTGGAATCATGCAGTATTTGTCCTTATTTCAATGAACATAACGTCCCCAAGGTTCATCTGTCTTGAAGAAGGTGTCAGAATTTTCTTCCTTTTTAAGACTCTATAATATTCCATTGTATGTATATACCACAGTATGCCATATTTTGTTTAACCACCTATTGATGGACATTTGGGTTGATTCTATCTTTTGGCTATTATTTATTTCTTAAAACAATATATATGCTTATTATCATTTTATAGATGACAAACAGACTCAGATGACCTGCTTGTTCAACATTATACTGTTAATACCAAAAACTATGTCAGTCACCATTTGATGCCAAAGCCCCCTTTCTCCCCACTACACTGCACTTCCTTATTCAGTCCACTCCAGACCTTTCCTAATGCCTACTCTCTGGGAACCCTGGACTATGCCCTGAAGCACTAACCCTAATCCACTTCATGGAAAGGTGTTAAGATGTTAATATTTCCAGCGTTAACTTTGCTTGTGCACAAGCAAAACCAACCTTTCACTTACAGTTGTCAGAGAGAAGTGTCCTAGTTTTCTATCTGATTCATTTATTCATCCATTCAGCAAACGTTGTATATATACTAAGGCTACAGGAATGAATAAGACATGACCTCCATCCCTAAGTGGCTCACAGTCCAGTGGACACCCAGAGTTTCTCAATCTCAGCACTACTGACGTTTGAGCTGGATCATTCCTTGTCCTGAGGAGCTGTCTGTGCATTGTAAAATGCTGAGCAGGATCCTAGGCCTTGGCATAGTTGTGAGAATCAAAAGTGTCTCTAAATATTGCCAAATGTCCTCCGGGGGGCAAACTCCCCCCATTTGAGAATCCGTGAGTGGAGAGTACTAATAAACAAGTCAGCTCGGATATCTCACAAGACGTGCGCAAGGAGAGATATGTGGGTTGGGAGCCCAGAGAGTTTGCCTTTAGCGAGCTTGGTGGGTCAGGAAAGGCTTCTGGAAGGAGCCTCAGCAAATCTTATTTGGTTCCCAGCAAGCAAATGGAGAACACACTGTAAATAAGTTTACTGCCATTCATGTGTGTCCTTCCACCATCTGCTGAGCTGCGTTTTAATACATATTCACTGTCCATTCCATCTTAGCCTTGAGAAATAAAATTCTACACCCCCGACCAACTCAATGGTCCCCCTCTTGGCCAAAGGGATCCCAGAGAGATCTTGAAAACTGAGTTCCCAGCCATGATGGGATGGGTGGTTGGACACACCTCATTATACCCTCCACCACCAGGCGTTCTTTCTTAAAGGCTGACCAGAAAGCAGCCATTTGCAAAGACTCCACTCCTGACTTCAACCAAGTGGCAGATGCTGTGCCTCTCTTTTTGCAATTTTGACACAACTGACCAGCACTGCTTCCTGATAAGAGACCATTGACCACAGAGTGGTTCTGGCCAGTCTACAGAGGATGCCCAGTGATGTGGATTGGCTGTGTCCTCACCAAAATCTCAACTTGAATTGTATCGCCCAGAATTCCCACATGTTGTAGGAGGGACCAGGGGGAGGCAATTGAGTCATGGGGGCCAGTCTTTCCCATGCTGCTCCCGTGATGGTGAATGAGTCTCATGAGATCTGATGGGTTTATTGGGTGTTTCCACTTTTGCTTCTTCATTTTCTCTTGCTGCTGCCATGTAAGAAGTGTCTTTCACCTCCTACCGTGATTCTGAGGCCTCCCCAGCCATGTGGGACTGTAAGTCCAATTCAACCACTTTTTCTTCCCATTCTCAGGTATGTCTTTATTAGCAGCGTGAAAACAGACTAATACACCCAGTGAGGGTTTTTGTGCCCTCTGCTTCACCTTTTAAAGGCAGAGGGCTGAAAATTCCACCCTCAGATTGTGGTAATGCTGCCATGTTTTGAACATATGACTCATGAAGAGGCATGAAGCTCAATTGTGTGTGCATGTTTCTCCTTTCATGCGTACTCATGCTCCTCCTATGGCTTATTGAAGATGGAGATTGGCCCACCCCATGCAGCATAAATCCCTTTCTTATTCTTTCCACTCTGGACATGCCTGCTCTGGTCTTCTAACCAGAGGCTCTGCTTCCCAGCCTGTCAGAATGGCCACCCCACAGGCTGCAGCCCTTCGTGAGAAATAAAGCTCTCCTTTCCAAATTTATGAACTTTGTCATCCTTCAGTTGACGGCCTCTATGTTCTAACACCAAATCTCTGGGCACTAACTGGGTGTCCTGCAATTCATTTCATTCTGACACTAACTACTTGGAGTTAGTGTAGACCCCCCGAGTGATGGGCACAGTCCTACAAGACCGTCCCCACTTTAGATACCAGAAGCAACTGTCAGTCCCCAAAGTACCCCCACTTCGGCCGCCTTGGCTACAGATTTGGAGGTTCCCATGACCCCCACTTCAGACTTGATGATTTGCTAGAGCAACCCACAGAGCTCACTGAAAGTGCTGTGCTGACAACTACGGTTTGATTGCAAATGCTAGAGCTCAGGGACAACCAAGTGAAAGACAAGCATTGGGCAGAGTCCAGGGCAAGGGAGGCGTGCAGGACCCTCTGCCCCAACTCTGGCTGGAGCCAGGGTGCACCACCCTCCAACATGGATACGTTTCCCACAGGGAGCCCCCCAAGCCCCATTATTCAGGGTTTTTATGGAGGTTTCATTATGCAGGCATGATTAATTAAATTATTGTCCATTGGTGACTAAACTCAGTCTCCAGCTCTTCTCCCCTCCCCTGAGGTCAGGGAGTGGTACTGAGAGTTCCAAACCTTTAATCTCATGTTGGATTTTTCTGACATGACCAAGCCTTCCCTTGAAAGTATCTAAGAACCACTGAGTCACCTCATTAGCATAAACTCATATATAATCTGGTGACAAGGGCTTGTTACGAGTGACAAAAGACCTTCTATCACTCAGGAAATGCCAAGCGTTTTCGAAGCCCTGTGCCAGGAATCAGGGACAAAGATAAAATATGTTTTTTTTTTTTTTTTAATTATATCACAGCCCTGGACTAAAGAAAACCCATGTTCTTCTTGCAAATCAAGATTCTAAAGAAAGCAGTGGCAGTTGAAGCCACAGGGAGTATGTTATCCAAGCAGGTGCCATGGCCTTATTTATGTACTAAGCAACCCTGCTCTGAGCTGCCTCTGTGCTGGCTGGATGGTTTCAATTACTCACGGCCTTGGACTTTCAAGGAAGCATGTCCCTTAATTGGGTGTAGTTCTTCTATTGCCTGAACATCTTCTCTGTCTAGTGATCAGGGAGTAACGAATGCAATGTTAATAGATTATTTTTCTTCTAGATACAAACAGTCATTGCATTCATGTTTTGCTTTCAGATTTGCTTGAAGAAAGTAACAGCTAGAACATCAAAAGGGATTTCTTAAGATATTTTTGTGAATCCAGTGAAATAGAGTGATCAATTGGTTATAGAAATTAATTCAGTGACTAAAACAGGTCAGAAGATGCCAGGGGAGAGGGTGTGGAGTGCCCCAGGGGTGGTCCATTTAGTAGCCATATGGTTCTGGGCATATTGAAACTCTCTGAGCTTCATCTCTGTCTGTAAACTAATACCACAAAGAGTTGTTGGAAGGATTAGCTGAAATAATATCCATCCTCCTTGACTTGTCCTTCTGTGGAAGAAAGAATCAGACAATCCTGCAGGATCTGTCCTTGGCCTCTTCCTTCCCTTCTCTCTTTCCTCTGAGAACCATCTTTTCCTCAGCTCCTCGGCTATCACCTCTGCTAATGATGCTCACTTCTGCTTCTAGCTCCTCCCTGCAGCCTTGGGCTCCTGTCTACAGCAGCCCAAGGCAATTCCACTTGGTCACCCCGATAAGTCTCCATCATCCAAATGGCTGGGACCACATTCAACTCCTCTTTCTCCTCAGCCAGCATCTGTCCACACTTCCCTGTTTCTAGCCTTTCTTCTTCCGGACACTCAAGAGTGAGCCTCTCCTATGAGGTGGGCACTCAGCATGGGGGAGTAAGGAGTAGAAATATGTAATCCTTGTCTTCAAATGACTTATAGTTCAGAAGCAGATAGAAAAACCAACTAAAGAATTATAGGAAAGAGGTATAGACGTGAATGCATGCTTTCTGCTAGCAAGGACAGATAACATTTAAAGGAGGAAGACAGCAAAAAGGAGAGACTGCTTTGTTCATCCGTAAGAACACATCTTGTTAGACTGGAAAGAGAACAAAACCAGAGTTAGCCAGGCTGAAGGCTCTGGCCAGGATACATGGAGTTGTAGCCAGGAATCTGGTTGTATGCATTACAGGAATATAAAGAGTTCTGGACTAAAGCTAAGCTCTTTGCCTGAGGTAAGGGCCAGCATGGGACCCTCCACCCTAGAGAACCTGAAGTCAGGTGGGTTAGTGGTACCATGGGGGCCCATGATTCACCAGCTCAGAGTCTGGCTGATTACTTTTGAGATGGATGGGCTTAGCCCAGGAGTCCATGGGATCCCTCCATTGTTTAGAAGGCAAGGCAGGAGCCTCAACTGACTCTACAGTTCTAATAGGAGAAAAACAGAGAGGCAGAGACAGACAAACACACAGGCACACACACACAGTAAAAAGAGAGAGAGAGGCAGAGACAAAGAGAGGAGGTCACCTATATTAGTCTGTTTTCATGCTGCTGATAGATGTACCTAAGACTGGGTAATTATAAAGGAAAGAGGTTTAACTGGCTCACAGTTCCACATGGCTGGGGAAGCCTAACAATTATGTTGGCAGACAAGGAGGAGCAAAGTCACATCTTACATGGCAGCAGGCAAGAGAGACTGAGAGCCAAGCGAAAGGGGAAACCCCTCATAAAACCATCAGATTTCGTGAGACTTATTCACTACCATGAGAACAGTATGGGGGAGACCCCACCCCCATGATTCAATTATCTCCACAGGCCCCTCCCACAACATGTGGGAATTATGGGAACTACAATTCAAGATGAGATTTGGGTGAGGACACAGCCAAACCATATCATCAACCCTGTAAAGGTGAAGGCTGCTTCAAACTTCTGAGCTCAGATATGTCTGAGCAATGGAGTATCTGGGGCATTGCTGGGTCTAGACTCATGCTAAACACCACCCATGGGGGATGACTTTACCCCATGTCCCAATATTCACTTTATAGCTCATTGGTTTAAAGACAGAACAAATAGACAACACACTAAAACAACACAAACAAACAAAAAGAAAAACTCAGGGGATGAGTCACCTTACAAAGTCAAATCAGTGACGAGAGATACCATCAAAGAAGGGCCCAGGAAAAGGAGACAGTGTGACTGATGCCCTGGCGGTGGCTGAGGGTGCCTCAGGGTTACCAGTCCACTGGGCCAGAGGGGAACAGTTTGCTCCTCATTCCTCTCACAATTCCAAACACAGGATGTGCATGGTGTGTGTATGTGCATGCACGCATGCTCTGGGGGAGCGGGAAGTGGATTACTTGTGTGTATAAAGTGTCTGATGAGTGCAATTGTCTCCACCAATTTAAAAGAATTTAACAAAGAGCGAAGTGATTGCCAGGGCTCAAAGGAGCAGGGGCAAGCAGATTAACAACAATCTCTGGACTCAACAGCATTTCACTAATTGGCACCGTTTGCCTTGACTCCATGTTACCTTCCTTGCCTGCTCTCCGCAGAAGAAGACAATATCTTTGTCTCCTTGCCAGCACAAATCCCTAAAAAGCCCAGTAAAAGAGGAACAGAAAGGAGAGGTGGTTATTAAATTTCCCTTAAGCTCACAAACTCATTTCTTTTAAGCTCATTTCGTTTCTTGAAAACGTTTCGAGGAGCTGAAAGCAGGGAGTCTACCCGTCACCCCACCTGCTGTGTTGGGCTCAAGGTCTGCATATTTTTCTAGGCTGGACTCAGCCTGCTTGGAGCCCATTGCAAGGAGGCAAGACTGAGTGTCTTGTGATATTTTATTCCTCCATTCCCAGCACTTCATCCTCATTCTGAACACTGAGACGATTTTAATATGCTTGCAACAGAGGGCTCAGAATAAGTCTTTTACACAGAGTTTTTAAAAAGCCTCCTGCCTCAGCACTAATCCACTGTGTCTTTAGTCCTCAGCCATGGCCCATTCCTTAGGAGAACTCTGGGCACAGAAACCTGTGGATATTTGGTATTGCAGAAAAAGCAGAGGTTGGAGGAGAGCCAGTAGACTGGGTTTCTAGTCCTAACGTTGCCACTCGCCAGCCATGGACATCTGAGAACAGCCTAAGGTCTCTTTGAGTCTCTTTTCCTCCATCTGTAATAGAAAGGATTTAGAGAGAATGTCATAGGAGGTCATTTTGGGCCCTGATGCTCTATTTTTCTGTCATTCTGGAGCTCACCCAGGTGTTGGGAAAGTCGTGAGAAACACAAATGGCTTAAGAACCATGGAGACAGAAGGCTTTGCCCCGGCTGAAGTTGCAGGGCTAGTAGCCACCAAGTGTCCTATTGAGAATAGTGAAGCAAGGCCCTGAGTGAAGGGGTACTCAAGTTGCCAAAGCCAGGATGTATCCCTTTGGGATTAAGGTCTAGGAGAAGGTGAACAGAGATTAAAAAATGGGAAAACTGGTGAAATGGTCATTCTACCTAGGAGCAGAATTCCTCGGCTAGGTAGGGATTGTGAAGGACACCTTATCTCTGGCAATGCAGCATCGTCTGCCCTGCTTGGCTCTCACATTGGTGTTGCTGCCTGGATTTTAAATTATAGTGAGTGTGTAATTAAGAAATTAATTAATAGGTGCTCCCTGGTAATTTGTGTTCCCACACTGGAGTCAATACATGTATGTGACATTTGACTAAGGATAACATAAGGATAACAGGCCAGTGTTTCTTGTCTTAACTAATCTTTGAGAAATGCAATTTAAGAATATCTGAGATAGCCAGGCATGGTGGCTCATGCCTGTAATCCCAGCACTTTGGGAGGCTGAAGCAAGAGGATCACTTGAGCCCAGGAGTTCAAGACCAGCCTGGGCAACATAATGAGACCCTGTGTGTACAAAAAATTTTAAAAATCAGCCAGGCATGGTGGTGTGTGCCTGTAGTCCCAGCTACTTGGGAGGCTGAGGTGGGAGAATGGCTTGAGCCCAGGAAGTTGAGGCTACAGTGAGCCGTGATCACAACACTGCACTCTACCTCCAGCGACAGAGAGATCCTCTCTCCAAAAAACAAAACAAAACAAACAAAACAAGTATATAGGAGAGATTGGTATGTGTTTGTGCATTTACATTTGGAAATGGTCTCCTTCCCTCCTTTTCTTCTCTCCCTCCCTCTGTCCCTTTCTTTCTTCCTTCCTTCCTTCTTTCCCTACCTACCTTCCATCATTCTTTCTTTCTACTGCAAATCAAATCATTGCATGATAGCCAAATGATATCTCTGCCAGCATCTACTTTGGAAATCACCTGGTCAGAGATGTGTGCATGTCTCCTTTTAATCAAATCAGTGAAAGAGGGTGAGTCCTCACCGTGACACATGCCCTGGCCAGAGGACTAGGCTCTCCATGAGCCAGGCGCTTCTGCCTGCGTGGAGGGTCGGGTTTCAGCCCTAGTGGCCAGGGCCGCTCGCAGGTGTCTCTGCTTTAGGAAGTGGCCGCCCACATCATCCTCATTATTCCGCCTGCTCAGGAACATTAAAGTGACACCGTGTGAAAGGCTTAGAGGGGAGGCCTCTCTGCAGAGGGTCTCCTGAGAGGGAAAATGTGGTGTTACTCTCTAAATCTTTTCCCACTGTGTCGGGTTTCCATAGCTCTGCTTCTTCTTATTCATGTTGCAGCTGACTGCCTGATCCTAAAGGCTGAGAACAAGGACTTGGTTTCTGTAAGTTATATAAATGAGTTCCATTTTTCTAGTAGTAAAGATCACATGCTTTTTTATTTTTTTTGTCTTTTGGACACCTGTATTGGTTAGAGTTCTCCAGGAAAATAGAACTGATAGGATGTATATATGTGCATGTATGTGTGTGTGCATGTATGTGTATACATGTGCACACATGTTTTTGTGTGTGCTTGTATGTGTGCATGATGTGTATATGTGCGTGCATGTTCGTGTGTGTGCATGTGTGTGTGTGTGCACGTGTGTGTGTGCGTGCATGTAAGTAAATGTATTTATAAGGAATTGGCTCACATGATTATGGAGGCCAAGTTCAAGATCAGCAGTCGGCACGGTGGAGACCCAGGAGAGCCGATGTGTGGTTTCAATCTGAAGGCTGTCAGGCTTGAGACCCAAGAAGACCTGCTGTTTCTGTTTGAGTCCCAAAGCAGGAAAAATCTGTTGCCCCGGTTCAAGGGCAGAGACAGAGAATTCTTTCCTATTCAGCCTGTTGCTCTAGTCAGGCCTTCATCTGATTGGATGAGGAACACCCAGACTGGGAGGGCAATCACCTTACTCAGTCTACTGATTCAATGTTAATTTCATTGAAAATGCCCTTATGGACACACTCATATAATGTTTGACCAAATATGTGGGCACCCATGGCCCAGACAAGTTGATTTGTACGACAGACTATCACAGCGCCCATGCTCAAGTCAATGAGCCACACAGAGGCTGAGCTCTTTTTCCCATCTCCTTCTAGGACAAGAATTGTTGAAGCCGGGGTCAGGATGGGGGATGCTGAAGTGCTCATACACTCTAAACCAGAGGCTTCCTAGAGCCTAAGGGGTAGCTGAGAAGACAGCCAGGTAACTAGGACTGCCAGTGCTGACAGTGGGGGAGGAGGTCCCAGGCAATGCACTCTGAAGTCTTTCAGCCCATCTGCATTTTTGGAGAGGTCCCTAAATTTTTTTTTTACTGGGTCCAAACCCACCAACTTACCCCTGAATCCTGGTTCTCGCATTTCCATTCTTAGTCTCAGTCCTTGCACCCAGCACCTCTGTCTTCAGTCCTATAAACAGTGTCTTCTGCTCTCAGTTGGGGCAGGTGGATGGATTAACTCACTCACTCCTGGGCTGACAAAGGCTCTTTGAAAATCTCCCTTCCTCTCAGAAGCATTGCAGCTGAAACACTGATTCTTAAATGCCCAAAGCCTTCAAGTTTCAAAGGAGAAAAGTGTAATATTGAAAGATATTTGCTAAATTTAGATTTGAAAGAAGGGGGCTGGGCTTGGGCTACATTGTTTGACATTTGATCTGTGTCACTACAGTCTTTGACAGTGGTTAATTCAAATAAGAGAAGGTGTGTGTGTGTGTGTGTGTGTAAACACACTGGTGCGAACTCAAGTTTTCACTGATTCTTACGGTTTACTCAAGTCACTTGTCTTCCTATTTACATATTCAACTGTCTGTCTCATTTATCTTATTTATTAAAACAAAATTCACTGTGGCATTAAGGCCCACCTCTGGAAATATAGATCTCATTAAGAAATTCTCCCTCTTGTCAATTCTAACTTTCTGTATTGTACCAAAATACAAACCACTCTGATAGGTAGAAAGCTGCTATTAATCTTGCCAAGTTTGTCTTACATAATTGATAATAAAACCGAACATGGCTAAGTTTTAAAAATCATCTTCCTTTATTATTATTATTACTATTAATTTTAAAACCACGCCTAAAGAACAGCCAGCCCTCGGAAGTGAAAAAAGTTAATGAAATTTCTCATTTCAAAGATGCACCTGGGGCTTAGCATCTTGGAACTGCACTGAAAAGTGGGGAGAAATCAGAGCGATGCATGTTCCCCTAATGCCTGCAATAACATGAAATCTGCCTGATGCCTATGCCTCGTGGAGATAAAGACCCATTTTTTTTTATATTATTAGACACAATTATGAGAAGCCAGAGAAAGTGAAAAAAAAATACACATTTCTGTATTCAAATGGAAATAAGTGCTTCATTAGTAATAAAGGCTCTAGGTTATGTTACCATGTAACCTTTTGTTCAAACATGATGTTTGAAATTTGCATAAGTAGTCAGCTGTGTATATCTCAGGGCTATTGAAATGCTATGACTCACCAATCTAAGCAGCCTCATAAACAGTGTTTTTCTCCTTTTCTGGTGCCCTTGTTTTCACAGAAACACAGCTGCACGGCACTGACAGAGAACTCGCAGAGTAAAAAGGAACCCACAATAAACGAGCTGCTTTGCGCCATGTTCACAATTTCCTTGCAGGGTGGGAGCAGAGATGGTCCGAGTAAACTGACCCATTTGGAAGCCCACTTGGAAACTGGGTTCCTTTTTTTAAAAAAATAAATTTATTTCCATAGGTTTTTGGGGAACAGGTGGTATTTGGTTACATGAGTAAGTTCTTCAGTTGTAATTTGTGAGATTTTGTGCACCCATCACCCAAGCAGTATACACTGAACTCAGTGTGTAGTTTTTTATCCCTCACTCCCCTCCCACGCCTTCTCTCAGGTCCCCGAAGTTCCTTATATCATTCTTATGCCTTTGCATCCTCATAGCTTAGCTCCCACTTATGAGTGAGAACACATGATGTTTGGTTTTCCATTCCTGAGTTACTTCACTTAAAATAATAGTCTCCAGTTCCATCCAGGTTGCTGTGAATTCCATTAATTTGTTCTTTTTTATGGGCTCATTCTTAAATGAAATCTTGGCAACCATAGAACTTCTTGTTTTAAAGGAGGAGAAGGAGGCATGGGGAAAGGTTCAGAAGACTGCCTGGACTTCAATGGAACTTACATATAATTTTCTGCATTACGTATAAATCCATCAGAAACATATGGAATGCATTTTCATTAAAGTTCACATGTGGAATTATTAATAGAAATTCAGTGGGAAAGAACAGTTTTGGGAGTGTGGGGGTGTGGAGGGACAAGGGAAGAACATGTTTTGTGGAACTCACGAAATGCACAAGTTCCCAGGAGGAAGTGTTTGGGTTTGCCCCTAGCTCACAAAGCCTCTGGGATTTCTGTCCCTTCAGCGTCTAATGTCAAATGAAATCCTTCACCTGCAAGTGAAGTGAGTGATCAGCTGCTGCATGCAGACTCCAGAGGGTGTATAGCTCCTGGGAGGTTTCTGGAAGCTGCCCCCAGAGAGCCTGCAGTCTACTCGGGTAGAAGGACAACAAGTGGGCGACCAGGGAAGCACCAGAGACACGTCTGACTTTGTGAGTCACAAACATTTTCTAAAATGAGGTAGTGAAATGGGAGAGTTCCCTGACCCCCACTGCAGGATGTGCGACAGGGGTGTGGCTCGTCTGTTCGGCCACTGTGTGTGCTCAAACCCCCTATGGGAAGGGGAGCATGCAGATGGGCAGGTGCAGGAACTGGGCAAGGGCTTTTGGGTTCCAACCCCATGGTAGTGTCTAGTAGTGGGTGTCTTCAATTCTCAAAGCCCCAGTGGGTGTGCTACAGTGCTTTTTTAAGCTTTGCCCTCCACAGATGCTTAAGTGTTAACCAGCTCAGTGCCCTCTTGTTACCTGGATTCTTCTCTGGCATCCAGGAAGAATCAGGTCACACACACACTCGAAGGATGGTGAATGCAGGAATTTCACTGGGTGATGGAGGTGGGCTCTCAGTGGGATGGATTGGGAGCTGGAAAAGGGATGGAGTGGGAAGATGATCTTCCCCTCATCAAGGAAGTTCTGATGATCGGCTGTGCCACAGCTCACCTCCTCTCTGAGCACCCCCAGCCAAATTCCTCTCGACACTCAGACACTCCTTCTTTTCTCTCCTTCTCTGCTGCGCTGCTCTTTTGCTCTTCTGCTCTTCTGTTCAACTGCTCATCTGCTTGTGGAGCCTGGGGTTTGGGGTTTATATGGGCATAGGATACAAGGTTGTGACAGGCAAAAAGCCAGCATTTGGGCATGAAAACAGGAATGCCTGTTCCCATTTGGGATGCTGGTTTCCAGGCTTGAGGGTGGGGCCTTTGCCAGGGAACTGCCCTCTTCTGCCCAGTATTTCCCTGTCTCCTGTTTGTATCAGTAGGACTTGCTGCAAGTCACCTAAGGTGGGCTCGACATCACAGCCTCTCATTTTGAATTAGTGAAAAAAGTCCTGCGGACAAAAGTGGTTGAAAGTATTTGGATGGCTCCAGCACCTCTGTGTGGATTTTAAAAGAAATATCTGATGAGAAGAGGGCACACTCATGCTTGTCCTCTTTTGTCACTAATGTGAGTGAAGATAGATAAGTCACTTCACTTCCTCTTGGGACTCTGGTCCCCTCAATTATGAAGTCAGAGGTTTGGAGTCTTTGGTCCCTTTTGGCACTAAATAAAGAGCTCAGATGATACATATGCAGGTGACACTTAGACTTGGTCCCTGAGGCTACCTGCCCATGTGGCCAGGTCTGCTTTGGATGGCAGAGGGGAGTTAGGAGTTTTCATAGAAGACTTGGAAATGTTGGGTAGGGAAACTCTGGCACCCCAGGCTGCATTGTGTTGAGAGTGGGACAAAAAGAGCACAAAACAGAGGTTGTACGTCTATGGGCAAAAGTTTCCTGTTTTCAGAGACCCATGGTGTCAGGGCCCGGGAAGTCCCACAGAGTAGCAATGCCCTGTCCAACCTCACCTACTGCAGAGCAGCACTGGGACCCAGGGAGATGAAGCAACACTTTGTTCAGACGTAGAGAAGGACAGAGCCACAGGCCAGGACCAGTCCCCTTCTTTCCCTCAAAGCACATTGCTCTTCTTTCTATCTGGTAGGTGACAGACATCAGGAGTTACCAACGTGCCAAGGTGCACCTAAGGCCAGCTGGACCATGGTGATACTTCTTCCCAGTGTGACACATGATTTAGGGGAATTCCCCAAACCCTTCTATCAAAAATGAAAATGGGCAGTCAATACGCCACCAAGAACATCTGGGTTCAGAACAATGATTTGTTCTAGGCTCAGAAGATTGATCAAGTTTTCATAAGGAAGAATGAATTACATTTAATAAGGATATTTAAACTTGGCTAGAATCTGTACTGGAAAGGAATTAATACCTCCCTGCTCATGCGAGCCTTGTTTCAGGACCAGGGGAGTTAGACTTTCAGTCTGGCTCTTGCCATTTTCTGATTATCGGACCTTGAGAATATCAGAGAAACATTATCTGCCCAATAGAATTAAATTACAGTTTGATTAATGGTAATATAATTATCATTAAAGTGTAATAAGAGCTCCCATTTGTGGAGCATTTTGCATTACTTTATGTTTACTTTACATTCCTGTAATCCTCATAACAATCCTCAAAGTAGATGTGATGTTTTCCATTCAATAGACAGGAAATGGAGGCTCAGAGAATTTAAGTAACTTGCACAAGGTCACAGAGCTACAATGTGGCAAAGCTGGATTTTACATTCCCATCTCTTTAACTCCAAAGCACAAGTTCTCAACCACCATGCAGTATCATACTGCCTCCCCCATGGACTCATTACATGACCCCCCTGTTACCCATATCCTAGGCTTGCTGCGAGGTTAACTTATGTGTATCCAGCCTCATACATTGATGGCAGAAAGTCTCTGTTCTGGATACTGAACCCTCACCCTTTATCTTGAACTCTGGTCATCTTGAATTTTTTGATGAGACCTTAGAGAAGTGATTGACCTATTTGGATCTCACTGTTGAGTTGTAAAATGGAGAAAGGTTACTCGCTTTCCTTGAAGATTGGGGCTGGGAGAGATGACCTCTTGAGCTTCCCAACCCGAAGTGTCATCAGAGAGTTTTGGCAGGGACTGTGTGGTAGTCTCCAAACCCATGCTCCTGTCTTCCTATGAACATACACCATATCCATAAGCCTCCCTTAGTTCCAACTTTCTGGCCAATTTCTCTTAATCCCTGTTTTCTATTTCCAGAGGAAACATGGCCAGTGGGTATAGTGAAAAAAATTAAGATAACAAAAACAGTGACTAACATTTACTGGGTATGTAGAATGTTCAAGGGTCTGTGCTAATCACTTTGCAATAAAAACAAAGTAAATGAAGACAACAATGAACCCTATTCTGTGGTCCAACCACAAAGTGGACCTTGCATCCATTCCCTTTAAACCCTTACCACTCAGCTACTTAAGCCCAAATTCTGACCCATGATGTTCCACAGCATGCACCATTGCACTGGGTCTACAGGCATTGAGCAGTTATATCCTCATGCTCCGAATCTCATTGCTGTTTTTTCTTCTTTCTTTGAAACTCTCATTTTCCAAGTACCAGGATCTCTGTTTACTAATCAATAAGAAAACAACAGGTTAAAATAACTCATACTATTGTTAATGGCTTATAACAGCTTAATATGCTACCCTTCCTAGACATATTTACTTAAAAAAGAGGACATTTGTTAATTGAAAGGAGTTAATGTACTAATGCTGAGAGTGTAGCCCATGACAGAAGGCACATTACACATGATTAAGATATCAGGATTGGTTCTAGGCTATTTGGGGGATTGGAAATATTGAAGAAACAAGGAGATTCCAAAATCCCAGGCCTATTCTGAATGCCAAACACTCCTGAGAGACAAGGCAGGAGGCACGGGGGGACAGATGGTGTGGCACAGTGCAGTGGAGGCACCATGAAAAGATGAATAAGGTGTTGAATGCTCTCAGCCAAGCCATGGCAGCAAGAGCAACTAGACTCTCTGTGATACGAACAGGAGACAGGGAAGCAATGGGTAGAAGAGGGGGGTTCCCCAGCAAAGGTCCCACCCTCAGGCCTGGAGACTTGTGGCCCTAAATGGGGACAGGCATTCCTGTTTTCATGTCCAAAAAGCTGCCTTTTGGCCAGCCATGTCCTCTATCCTGTACCCATATAAACCCTGAGCCCCAGGCTCCAGAAGCAGATGAACAGATGAGGAGACTAGGAGACAAGCAGACAAATGGCAGAGCAGAGAAAGAGAGAAGAGAAGGAATGCCTGAATGCTGAGAGGAGTTCGGCTGGCCAAACTCCAAGGGAAGATCACCTTCCCACTCCATCCCCCTTCCAACTCCCCATCCATCTCACTGACAGCCACCTCTACCACTCAATAAAACCCCACATTCATCCTCTGAGTCCATATGTGACCTGATTCTCCCAGAAGACTGGACAAGAGCTCAGGATACAGAAAGCTGTCACACTGGCCCTCTGCCCTTGCAGAAAGGCAGAGAGGGCACTGAGCTGGTTAACACTTAAGCTATCTGTGGATGGCAGAGCTAAAAGAGCTTTATAACACTGGAGTCGCAGGCACCCACCCCTAGATACTACCACAAGGTCAAAGCCCAAAGAGCTCACCCCAGCTCCTGCACCTGCCTGTATGCATGCTCCCCCTCCTGCAAGGGGTTTGAGCTCTTGGTGGTCAAACAGAGAGCTGCACTCCCATTGCATGCCCTGAGAAGGGGGCCAGGGTACTCTCCTGTTTCATCTGGACCTTGGTTCGTGACTTTGACATCGGCAGATGGGGCCAGGTGACCTGTCACCTCTTTCAGCACAAGTGTTCTGAGCTGTCATGCTCCCTCCTAATCTCCTTGGGCTAATAGGATGGCACTCTCTCCCCTTACCCTGCTCAGTTTTTCTGTATTGTGCTTGCTACCCTGTGACATTGATTACATCGTATTTTGTTTACTGATTTGTTTACTGTGTCTTCCTCACTAACATATTAGTTCTAGGAGAGTTCCCTTCTCTCCTCTAGCCCAAATGAGCCACTCTAGAGGCCAGAAGAACAATTTGACCTTGGGCACTACTGAGTAGTGTTATTCTCAAAGAGGTTCACACAAGGAAGCTTATTATGTCTTCCACTTACAGGTGAAAAATGCTACTTATAGTGGTGCTAAGCCCAGAGAAAGAGCACGTAAGTCAAGGCAGTTCCCAGGAAATGGATCTGAGATCCTGCCGATGGCAGGGTCTCTAGCAATAACTTTGCCGATGGGTCATTTTGTCAGTGTGGACTTAAGGTCTTAGAGTGGTTGATACCCTCTACCCTAGCAAATTGTCTTCCAGGAATGTATCTTCTGGAAATTATCAAGAATCTATTCTCCCTAAGTATCCCTGCTTTAATTAAATGACAAGGATGCTTGAAACAGGAGAAAATGGGGAAAAACCCACTGAAAGGAATTGATTAAATTAATTACAGTTAAACCATTTTGATGGATTACCATGTAGCCATTAAGTGAAAAAGACAGCTTACAAAACAATATGACCTGAGTTTTGTAATAAGAAATAGTAGATACAGGCTCAAGCAAAGCAAAATTTTAATGACTTCTTTGGGTGGTAAAACTACGTAAAGTTTTAAAGGTTTTCCCCACGCCTTTCCGAATTGCCTGACAATTTTTATTACAGATACATATGAATTCACAACCCAAAAGAAAGATGAAGTTTGTTAAATGTAAGAGTTCCTGTCCTGGCTGTCTTGGCCCCAGATGTGTGATCTTGAGCAAGCTGCCTGATGCCTCTGTCCTCTCTCTGTTGCCTCATCTGTAAAATGGGAACAAAATCATGGATCCATTCGTTATTATGGGGCTGTTGTTAGGTTCAAAGGAGAAAGTAAAGACAAGGGGGTTTTATAAACATTAACCATATGGACATGATTATACACTTCATACATTTAAAACTATGCCTCTATTATAAGACAGAGGAGCACTGAAGTACTGCAATGGTAGGTAGCATTGAGATTAATGGGCCCAAATCATTTCCACTACATTATAGTATTATCCTGAGAGGATGTCCATGAAGGTTTGGAATGTTTATTGCTATATAATGTCTCTTTTCCATGATAAACTGTTAGTCTGTTTTGAGTCTGAGGCAAAAACATAACACTCTTTCTTTGTATGAGGTGGACTTTTACCCTTTAAAGCATAAACCTTCTCTCTGATACAAGCATTTTCTTTTCTACTAAGAAATGTGCATGAAAACAGAATGCCACTTCTCTTTGTCTTCAATGGAATATTCAACCAATAGGATGAATGGAAACATTTTGAAATGTGGCAAGTTTTCTTTCTGGAGTTGCCCATGGTTAGTGGGTAATTTGGATCCAGTCGTAGAGCATAAGGAAGCATAAATTATAACCAAAATGAGACCACTGGAGACAATGAAGGAAACTGCTATTATAAAAAAAAAAATGCTGAGCGGGAGAAACATTTGGGGAATGGAAATTAGGGCAGGTTTTGAAATATTTTCAAACCCGTTTACTACCATCTGTTAGGAGTCTATGCTGCTCAAGATTGATCGTTTCCTATCTATGAAATCCTCTGGCTTTGGAAAACAAATTCGGTGAGAGATGATTAACTTCCCTTTTAATGGCAAAGAGGTAAAGTAGAGACATGGTGTGACAGGCTTGGAACCAGAATTGTGGGGACAGCGATTCAAGAATGCCTCTGCCTGCATTTTAATAAAAGGTAGGAGGGATTTTTGAAGCTCTTTTCGGTCCTAAAACCTGTTCCACCACTGTGTTCCTTCACTGAGAAGCGGTACTGCTGCAGACGAAGCAGCTGTTTAGGAGGAAAATCAGACCCCAGGAAGCCACTTCTGCTGTGAAGCCATTTGCATAGGGCATCCCGCAAGGTCAGTTGGTTGCAGAATCTTTTGCATAATTCCTGAAAATGAAGGCAGTTTAGCATTTGGATCCATTTATCAGATTGTGGAGTTAAAAAAAAATCAGTAAACAGAATCAGATTGCGTTGCAAAAATGGAAATCAAACAGAAAACAAGGACTATCTTGCAGCAAAATGATGTCTTGACTTGGGTTTTTAGAGATTAATGAAGTCATAAAACAAACAATTTGTATTAGCAGAAGTGCCTCCTTGTCCCCCAAAGGGCCAGCTCAATTGAAATGGAGATGCTCCTCTGGATTTCCCAAGAGCCGCACTTCTCACCATTCACAATTCACCTGTCCTCAACCCTCCATCGCTTCCCTATGTTACCCGGAATAAGATTGCGTGTTTGTGTGTGTCAGTGTGTCCTGGCGTCCGGTCCTCTAAGACTCCATCTGAGCTTCCTCTTTCCTAGGCACACTTGACAGACTTAAGCTGGTTCCCACTGGGGCACTATCTTCCTGGCTATTGCCTCTGGCTAGAAAACACTTTCAACAAATGGCCAGTCCCCTCAATTCATTTAGATCTCATCATAAGAAAACTTTCCTGATCACCTATTAAGTTAGAGCCCCTTCCTCATTTCCTTTGGAGTGACTTCCACTGACTGTATTTATTTATCTGCTGTCTGCTTCACCCTCCAAAATGTAAGCCCCACAGAGGCAGCGCTAGTTCTGCTCACCCTGTAGTCCCAGTACGAAGCAAAAGGCACAGGCATGGTAAATCGGACTCTATCGTTCATTCCCTTCCACATCCCCACAGTATGGCATGTCCCTGCCATCTTGCTCTTCACTTGGCTGTGCAACGTGCTTTGACCTCATTGTGTATAGGGTGTATTTCCCCGCCCCTTGACTTTGGCTCTAACCACGTCTTGCTCTGGCCTATGGAATTTTAGTGGATGTGGACACATAGACATCCAGTTCTGCTTGCCCCTTTGTGAGTCTGTCTTTGCCATGAGAAGAACATGACTCCAGAAGCTGCAGGCACTAGGAGATGAGAGACGGGTGAGCCCCCCTGGACCCGGCCCAGCCAAGTCCGTCCTAAACCAACTGGGTTCCAGTTGACTCAAAAACACATGAGCAGGAAATAGACGCTCTTTGTTGTGTGCCACTAGGGCTTTATTGTTGTTTTTTACACAGCAAAAGTTGACAGATAAAAGAGGTCCAGAATATTTATTCAATGAGTTAACAGTTAAGGTTTTAGTATTCAAAAAATGACTAACCTATGAATGCAAAAGAAAAACTTTACATGTTAAAAAAACATACCAAATTAAACACAAAACCCAAGTATGCAGGATGTGTTATGTATGGTTCTAGACTTTTGCTCACATGAAAGGGAGACAAAACAAGAAATGTCCATGGCCCTGGGATGAAGGTTTGATAGCACACACTCTTTTCAACGAAGCTGATCTGGTTTAAAGAAAGAGAGAACCCAGAACAGCTGGTCCTGGTGCCTCAGTGCCCGTGATTACAACACACAGCAAGCAGCCCCGTGTTTCTTTTAACACTGGATGTGTGTGTGTGTGTGTGTATCTCTGTGTGTGTGTCTTGTGCATCTGTGTGTCTGTGTGGGTGTCTGTGTGTGTGTATCTGTGTATATGTGTGTTTGTGTATATGTCTCTGTGTGTGTGTCTGTGTGTGTTTGTGTGTCTGTGTGTCTATGTGTGTGTGCCTTTGTGTGTAGGCCTCTGTGTGTATGTTTGTGTGTCTCTGTGTGTGTCTGTATGCGTGTGTCTGAGTGTATTTCTGTGTCTCTGTGTGTGTTTATGTGTATGCCTCTGTGTGTGTCTCTGTGTGTGTGTCTGTGTGCATATCTTTGTGTGTGTGTCTCTGTATGTGTGTGTGTGTCTCCGTGTGTGTCTGTGTGTATATCTGTGTGTACACACATGGGCCTGTTTGTGTGTATTGGGGTAAGGAAGACAGGAAGGCAGTCATAAATGGATTGAAGGAAAGAAAGAAATCCCCAAATTGAAAAACTACTTTTTAATAACATGTTGTACACCAAAATTGAATTAGACTACTATTAATCTTGTCATTGATATTGGTAGAGACACATACATTGATATATTTTAAATACAGATGAATACTTTATTTAGAAATACATGTTTCCTTTTAAGTAGAGGCAATAGTACATTTTCAAAGCACTCAAATAGTAAAACTGTCTAACAGTCCATTAAGAACAGTTTCTTTTAATCAGAAAAAACGCACCATCTTTGCATTTTTGAAGAATTTTCAGAAAAAGAACTATTACAGCTTCTCTAAGAACACTATCTATGTAGGCATCTTTTGTAGATGTCATGTTATTCAGTATTTTTACTACCCTTAAAAAGAAAAAGAGAAGCCAGAAACAAGGCAATACTGTCCATTTTAAAGAATTCTGAACTCAAAACGGCTCTATTGTCAAAGTGTCTCTGAGTTTTACTGCAATCAAATTCCTGGGGGATTCAGAGGATTAGTGAAGTTTCGGTTTGTAGGTTTTCCAGTTACTGACCTTTTTTGGAGGCACCTCTAAGCTGCAGGGTTTCGCCAGTTGTGCAATACAGCCAGCCATAATACGAACCCAGCACTATTGCATCAGTAGAAACGGGAATCAGACCATGATCCAAAGCATGATGTACCACGGGTGCCAGTTTCTGAAAACCCATAAATCTTGGAGCATCCCTAGAATGTATTCAGTTTCTGGTGGAAGAATTGCTGCATAGTTGCCAAACCTGCCTTCTGCTCTCTCGAATGTTCTTTGTCAGGAAGATATCATCAACGGAGGAAAAAATGCAAACGCTTTTGACTATAGTCATGGACATTTCTGTGACGAGAACATTATTTTGTCATTATGATAATCGGATAAATGTGGTTTGTTTGGTTCAGAAAGATGTAAGAATTTTTGGCCTAATTATAGAATTTACATTTTAAATGGGAAACATATGGGTATATATTTAGATATGACATAACATCCTCAAGTGTATAAAAAGCAACAATCTGACAGATGTTCACAGAGAATTGTATACAGAAGAAATATCAGGTGCAATGTAAGTGATAGCAGCCGCTAGAATTTGACTTTATTGCCAAGGAAGAGAGGAGAGAGCTTAACTTCTGTGTTGCCTCCGCTTGATCATTGTATTTTTCAAATTAACTTTCCCCCAAAGATAATTTTTTCCTGCCAAGGCAGGTCTTATGAGGAGTTGGAATAGGTTGGTTTCAGCACTCGATGTGTTTTTCTGGGATGCGGGGATAGCCTTAGTGCCAATAAAACAAACTCTCTTTATTCTAAAGTGAGTGATTAAAATCATCTCATCATTTTTAAGGTCTTTGGTGCTTGTTATATTAAAATATCCCTAAAACAGTGACTTTTTAATGTTTTCTCCAACTTTTCAAACTTAATATAACTGAGGAAGCTTAGTGATCAAATCATTGTTGTATGAAAGAATATAGTACCAGGAATGTTATTGCAGTGCTGGAGGTCAGAGCAAAATACTAAGGACATTTAGTGCCCTAAATGTCTAGCAACAGGGCACTGGTTAAATAAATCAGCCTACTTCAATATAATGGCATGCTGTATAGCCATGGGAAAAAATAACATTAAAGAGGGATTTTTACGTAACAAGAACATATTCACAACGTGCAAAGTGAAAAGGCAAGTTATAAAACAATATAACCACTGCGAACAGGCAAAAAGGAAGTGTACCAACAGGTTGATAGTTGTTATCTTAGGCGTTGGAGCTATAAATAACTTTTTTTTAAGAGACAGGATCTCGCTCTGTGGCCCAGGCTGGGGTGCCGTGGCGTGATCATAGCTCACTGCAGCTTCAACCTCCTGGGCTCAAGCGATCCTCCAGCCTCAGCCCCCAGAGTAGCTTGGGATTATAATAGGTCTGTGCCACCATGCCTCATTTTTTAATTTCAAAATTTTTATGTAGAGACTGGGTGTCACTAAGCTGCCCATGATTATCTGAACTCCTGGGCTCAAGCAATCCTCCCCTCATCCTCCCAAAGTGCTGAGATTACAGGCATGGGCCACCACACTTGGGCATAAATAATTTTAATGATCCTTATATATGATCCATATATAGAGAGACAGCATAAATTTTCTGCAAGTGAAATGATATAAATCATAATATATCATGTCTGCCCATGGTGAGTAGCCAATAAATGCTAGCATTTATGATTATGGTTATTATGAGAACAATAATACATTTAATACACTGTTTATAAATAAATTATAACATTTATTTTTTATAAAATAAAAGAGTCATCATTTTTTAAAACTCCATTTAAATTCCTGAGGTCAGGTTTGTCTGGTGTATGTGTGTGGTGGAAGAGGGAGGTGGGGTCAATTTAGAGGAAGTTTCTGCCCCTCTTTGGAGATGGATGGGTGGTAACCGAGGAGGGAACAATGAATCAGAAACACCGAAAGCGAACTTGGCATTCTTCTTGGGCTTCTCGGGTCCACTTTTCTTTGACATTCACGAACCCTGGAGAAGTAATAGGCTAGCTCAGAACATAACAGTCTGTGGGTACTTCCTTCTTAGCATGTATTTCCCTTAAAAATTAAGCTTGTAGGCCGGGCGTGGTGGCTTAAGCCTGTAATCCCAGCACTTTGGGAGGCCGAGGTGGGCGGATCATGAGGTCAGGAGATTGAGACCATCCTAGCAAACACGGTGAAACCCCATCTCTACTAAAAATACAAAAAAATTAGCCGGGCGTGGTGGTGGGCACCTGTAGTCCCAGCTACTCAGGAGGCTGAGGCAGGAGAATGGCATGAACCCGGGAGGCGGAGCTTGAAGTGAGCAGAGATTGCACCACTGCACTCCAGCCTGGGCGACAGAGTGACAGAGCGAGACTCCGTCCCAAAAAAAAAAAAAAAAAAAAAAAAAATTAAGCTTGTAAAGATATCACAGAGCCATGGAAAAGAGACACCTCTACTTACTTCCTAAAAATACTTTTTCATCCTTTGCATCTTTCCCATAGACTAGGATTTCCATCATACAACAAAAGTTATGTTACTTTTTCCAATTGAAAAAATACATAAAAATAATTATATATTGGCTGGTTTTAATCACAACCTTCTGGTATTCCAAGAAAAAAAAAGGAATACCTAATTTACAAGTCAAATTAGTTTGATTATTGTTTTTGTTATTTTCCCCACCTAAATTTCTCTTTCAGTGTTGCAAAATGTTAGTTAATAACTTAACCAATATTAATAACAACCCAAACTAAGTTTATAAAATGTACGTAATTTCTGTAGTTGAAACTATGAAATCTTGGAAAACAAAACCTTTATTTCAAAATAAACTCAAACATTTCAAAACAAAATCAAATTTTTTATTTCAAAAGCTAATTTAGAAAGTACTACTTCCACACAAGTGAGTTTTTAAAGAAATGACCATCTCAAAAGGTAGTTTATTCTCTGTCATAACTGACTTTACTTTTGGGATGATGTACAAATGTGTTTTTGTATCTGTTTTTGGTGTGCTAAGAACTTTTTATTAAAATTTCTTGTAGAATGTTTGGAAGCTGTTTTGCAAAGAAAATGTCAAATGTGTAGAACATTTTGTAAAACTGTTAAAAAGTGTTAGAGAAAGAAGATTAAGCAATTCGATAGTGGTTATGTGACCACTTCAGACAGAAACTCATTTTGCTTAATTTGAAGCATACAACCTGTGTGCAAAAATTGGCTTGGTCAGAAATTGTTCCTGGCGGGGTGCAGTGGCTCACACCTGTAATCCCAGCACTTTGGGAGACCAAGGCGGGTGGATTACCTGAGGTCAGGAGTTCAAGGCCAGCCTGGCCAACATGGTGAAACCCCGTCTTCACTAAAAATACAAAAATTAGCTGGGCGTGATGGCATGCTCCTGTAATCCCAGCTACTGGGGAGGCTGAGGCATGAGAATCGCTTGAACCTGGGAGGCAGAGGTTGGAGTGAGCTGAGATCGTGCTACTGCACTCCAGCCTGGGAGACAAGTGAGATCCCATCTCAAAAAAAGAAAAATAAAAAACAAAAAAAAATCCTATTTGGTATGTGTTTCGAGATTTAAAGGGAAGCTTTAGGAAAATATTTTGTTTGTGAATTTGAAGAGGGGAAAAATGTCCTTGCAGGAAACATGATTTTATGAATTTATTCTTCTACCTGCAAACTCTACCACTTCCAGATGCCATATGTTTTAAAACTTCATTCAGGTACTATAAGAAATGCTGAGCAAACAATTATTGTGCTGGCACAATTTCGGAAAAGCACAGTGGTCTCAATATTTGTCCATTCTATCCACTAAAACCAGAAATTGTTCATGAGCGAAAAGGGAATTATTCAGAAAATCTAGTCACATGGTTTAAAGATGGCCATAATTTCTTTGACACCATCCATTGAAAGTTGTCTCCTCTCTGCCCATTGAATTCGAATAGGCTAAGTGACCCATTTGTAACCCATAGAATGTGGCAGAAGTGAAACTGTGTGGCTTCCAAGGCTAGGTCAGAAAGGATGATGCAACATCCGCCTTGTCCCCTTGTCCACTGGAGCATTCACTTTTTGAGCCCCAAGCTGTGATGCGAGAAGTCTAACCACCTGAAGGCCACCATGCTGTGAGGAAGCCCAAGCCACATGGAGAGAGACCACATGTAGACAGTCTTGCCTACAGTCCTAGCTTAGCCTAGCCTTGAATCATCCCAGCTCAGGTGACAGATGAAGATCTGTCAATGAAGATGCCCTCACCCCTGAGATGACTGTGGCCCCAGATGTTTGTGTCAGTGTTCCAGTCTTCCCACCTGGGCTCCAGGTGTCAAAAAACAGAAAGAATCCATCCCAGCTTTACCATTGTTGAATTCATGTCCAACAGCATCCATGAGGCTGATACTGATTTTTTTCATTGCTAAGCATGGGTTTCGGTTTTGTTTCATTTTGCTTTGTTTTCATGCAGAAATAGATGACTGGTACATTGTGTAATTTGAACTTATAGGATAAATACTTGAGGAGATGATATGTTGTAAATATGTTACACTGAAACTGCATTTTATTTCTGAGTCAGAAACATTTAGATTATATATTCTTTGTGTTTTAATAAAATATAAAGTTATTAGTTGCTTTTAGTTTTCAGTATAACAGAATCATGGGGCATCTTTTGTTAAGTCTTTATTTGGAATATTTCAAACTGAACAAAAGAGTGGCTTCTATGACTCGTCTAAGGAATATGATGTGCTGCTTTTTGCTGGACTCTAGCCCCAGTCCTTGGTCATTTCTGTGTTCAGTTCACCGATAAGTGCTCATCCCTGTGACCTGGCCTTGCTGCTGTAGTGACAGACGCTAATCACATCACAGACCAAACACTTCACTCAGGCAGTTTCACCGACTGCTCAGCTATGCCAAGGCTCTCCTCGGGGCTACAGGCGGAGCTTGGTTAGTCAATGCTTGTGGGTCTTGTTTCATAGCAAGCTTTTGTTCCCAATTTAGTTACAAATAAATTTAATTTTTACAGCACTAAGTAGAAAATGAATGTGAAAAAATAAGTTTAAGCTGAAGCAGCTTTAATCTGGATAATTCTCTTTTATTGCAATAACGCTTCAAATAAATAGGCTGACCTATCTATTTTTTACCTAATTATCTCTGAAAAGAGAAAGTCACTCTGTTTATAAGGACATTCAAAGTACTTTCTTTGGCTCTTGTATTCAGTTGTTATTTCAAAATTCAAAAAGATTCCTTTGTCTTTATAAACATAGAGCCTAAACCACTAAGTTATCAGCTTTTGAGGAAAGTTTTTTGAATCGTTACGATCCAGCATTTATAAATAGAAATGTGAACTTTGACTGGAGAAAATGTTTATAGTTTTCCAGAATGCTTAGAACATCTGTATTAGTCCTGTACTTTCATTGCCTTATAATCATTGCCATGTAGTAATGCCAACTACAGATTATGAAATATTTCAAATATACATACAAGACTCCGCTAGTGGCAAATTCTGGTAACTGGGCTGCCCTGTAAACATGAGAACAGAGTCTGGGATTCACAGCAGAAGTTCTACCAACACAAGCTCAAACGGGGGATGAGAGGGGTCAGGATTCACTGTAAAACAGCGATTTTTAAAACATCTTCGCCACAGTTATGGACTGAATTGTGTCTGCCCCAAAATTCACAAGTTGAAGTCCTAAGCCCCAGCACTTCATAATGTGACCTCATGTGGAGATAAGTCTTTGAACGTCTAATTAGTTAAGATGAGATCATACTTCATGGACAAGGTAGGCCCTAATATGGCTGACACCCTCATAGAAAGGGGAAATTTGCACACACACACACACACACACACACACACACACTCAACAGCACGTGAAGATGAGGGTGGGGAAAGGAGTGAACCCAACGGATTCCAAAGATGGCCAGCAAACCCCTGGTAGCCAGGGGAGAGCCCTGGAACGGATTCTTCCTCTCAGCCTCAGAAGCAATCAACCTTGCCAACACCTGGATTCTGGACGCCCAGCCCCCAGGACTGTAAGACAGCACACTTCTGTTGTTCATGCCACCCAGTCCACAGTACTTTCTTATGGCAGCCCTAGGAAATGAATACACCCGTAATCGGCAGATTTTGATTTAACATGGAAGTTTCTAACGCTCTTTATTTATTTTTTACTCCATAGTGATGGGAGGTGAGATAATTACCCAGTGGATTTACAGTCTGTCTAGACAAACTGAATTCATTCAGAGAGCTGTCTCACAGGAATGAAAAACAGCTCTTCCCTCAGCTAACTTGCATATGTACTTGAGATTGTTTGAACACTTCCAAGGTCCACCAAAGGAACACAATCACAGTGTTAATAGGAATCCTGACTGTTGAAGCTCCTCACTAAAGCCAAACTCCGTTGGGCCTTTCCCGGTCCTCGGCATCAGGAGCCCGGGCTGCACGTTCTTGTGCCTCATTTCAGGAGGGTCCAATCTTTTGGCTTCCCTGGGCCACATTGGAAGAAGAATTGTCTTGGGCCACACCTAAAATACACTAACATTAATGATAGATGATGAGCTAAAAAAATTGCAAAAAAATCTTATAATGTTTTAAGAAAGTTGATGAATTTGTGTGGGCTGCATTGAAAGCCATCCTGGGCCACGTGCAGCCCGCAGGCCACAGGTTGGGAAAGCTTGCCATCCTTTCAGAGCTTTGGTTGCTGTGACAATGCCCTGTTGTTTGACCACTCCTTCGTTTCAGACATCATCCCTAAAGAGATCACAAGCCTGGCCAGATTAGGAGATGCTTAAAGTGAAGCCTGGGATCTTTGGGACCTGGTCCCCATGGCTCCTGCACTCACTAAAGAAGAAATCGAGCCAGGCACCACCGCCGGGGACCTTGAAAAATGTCAAAGCACATGAAATTGTTTGTGGGTGGCTCCCATTTTCTTGTACTCTTTCCTTCCTTCCTTCCTTCCTTCCTTCCTTCCTTCCTTCCTTCCTTCCTTCCTTCCTCCTTCTTTCTTTCTCTTTCTTTCTTTTCTTTCTTTCTTTCTTTCTTTCTTTCTTTCTTTCTTTCTTTCTTTCTTTCTTTTCTTTCTTTCTTTCTCTCTCTCTCTCCCTCCTTCCTTCCCTCCTTCCTTCCTTCCTTTCTTTCTTTTCTTTCTTTCTTTCTTTCTTTCTCTCTCTCTTTCTTTCTTTCTTTGAGTCTTGCTCTGTCACCCAGGCCGAAGTGCAGTGTGGTGATCTTGGCTCACTGCAACCTCCGCCTCCTGGGTTCAAGCAACTCTCCTGTCTTAGCCTCCCTAGCAGCTGGGATTACAGTCGCCTGCCATCACGCCCAGCTAATTTTTGTATTTTTAGTAGAGACAGGGTTTCACCATATTGGTTACGCTGGTCTGGAACTCTTGAACCTCAGGTGATCCCCCCGCCTCGGCCTCCCAGAGTGCTGGGATTACAGGTGTGAGTCACTGCGCCTGGCCCTTGTACCCTTCTTTCAAGATGACCTCAAAAGCCCTCCAGAGTCCCTGCATTGAATTCCCACTCCACTCAAGGAGGCTGCCTTGGTCCTGGGGTGCAGAAAAGACTAAGAGTTATGTGTTGAAAGCTGTGGTGTGATGTCTGGGAGAGGCAGGACTCCTCAATTCAAATGACCTACAATGGAGACACAGTGTGAGGCAGATGTTCCCCAACTATAGGACGTCCTCTACAAGTAAAGAGCAGGGGAAGAGTTTAATATTGTATTAATCCTGGATCACTGCTCTCCCCTCACTTAGATACTGAATGGATAAACTGAGGTACCATTAAACAGACCATGAGGCAGTAGGTTTTCCATTCCAGGTGTTAACAGACAAAGTGGCACATTTTAAAAAAGAAACAAAAACCTAGTCCTCTTAATCGTATTGCTTAGAAGTGCTGTGACAGACAGAGATAAGCAGGTAGCTAGATAGATGTGTAGGTGTAAAGAAACAGAAAAAGATAGATTGACAGAAAGCAAGATGGCCTGTAAGTTAGATTATCTGCAAGGACGAGAGATAAATCGATAAATAGAGCAGTTACCTAACCACTTGCATTTTGTTTCCTCCCACATTCTTCTTAGCTTTAGATCAGCTACCAGAATTTTATCATTATGTACAGAGCAGGAAGGTACTTAAGTGATCTCCATATTCATTCTATGATGTTTCTTCAAGAAATTTTAATTAAGTCATTTTTGCATAAAAAATCAAGTACTATGAAGTTCCATGTATTAAGTGCACATTCAATATTAAGATGCATAAGTTATAAACATCCAAAAGACACTCCCCCAACTCCCAAAGAAACTCACAGCTTATGGACCTGCAGATGGTTCTGATGTGGGCAGTGGGAGCTGTAGCCTGGAAAATGAAGCTGTGACACCGTATGAAGTTCTGTGTCTTGGATTCTGTTTGTGGCTACCAGTGTAGCAGCTGACCACCCCTGCTGGCTGGTTATCAGGTATTTTAAAAGATACCATACATATTTGCAAAGAAGTCTCATTAAAAGCGATGATGGAAATACAGTGTGGAATACAGTGCCTGGCTTTGCAGCAAGACCTCCTGGTGTCAGCTCTTAGGGTAGTGGTAAAACACCCTCAGCTCTACAAGAGGACACAGTTCGTTCATTCATTCATTCATTCTTTCATTCATTTAAATATTTCTTGATGTCTACTCAGTGCCAGGATCTGAGCCAGGAAATATAGCGATGAACAAGTCCAACACATCTCTTTCTTCATGATGTTTACATTGTAAGCAGGGAGAATCTTCAAGTACTCCTATTGATTTGAAATAGACACTAGAGGAGAAAATCATGAAGGAAATAGGCTCAGAACTCATTGAGTTCAACAGAAGCAGTGAATTCATCAAACTCCAGACAATACTGTCCCATCTGAATTTCTTAAGACTCACGATCAGTGTTTGCCTCTCTTCATTGGTGATAGCCCTATTCTGTGGGGTAAAGTTTCTGAACAGAGCCCTAGAGAAGAATTCTGCTCTACCCATCATTTTCTCCTTTTCATACATACAGGTTTATTACCCATGCCACCATTTAGCTGCAGAAGAGTTAGAATCCTCCAACGTGGTTGGTGATTTGCCTGTGTAACCCCTTTCCATGAAACCACATTCTCCTGGCCAGGCAGCCGAGGGTGGTTTTAATGCCAGGAGTCTCCACAAAGGACATGAACAGCCCCACAGAGGTTGTCCACCTCACACCCACCACATGCCCTGGTAAAAGTGCCATCTCTCTTCTCCTTATCTTTTGTCTATTAAGCAGATAAGGGGAGTTGACTCCTATGCTACGCTAAGGGACACGACAAAGACAAGTGCCTCCCCTAGCCTGTGGCCATCACTTGATGTCCCATCACTCTTCCTCGTCTTTAGTGGAAGTTATTGGGTTGAACAACAGACATGACATCATTCAAGTGCCCTCAGCCTGGGTTGGGAGAAACAAGCCTATGTATTAACACAATATGTCATGTAATCAACCCTTCTTCTCTCCCCTTTTTCTTTGTTGAAGGATGGCACAGATCTACACAGTTGTCTTCAGGTTAGTGTGAGCTCTGAGCCCTCGAGAGTTTTCCTCAGAAGGAAGCTGTTCTGGAGAGCGTCTGTCATTTCCTCTCAGCAACTTTTGAAATTGAGCATTGAGGGAGTGTAGGAAAATTCCTAGGTTCTAGTGAATAGGCTCACTCAAGAGGCTGAAGAGAAAATATGCAAACTAATTATTGTAAAAACCTTTCATTTCCATAGTTTTCTAAAACAGTGATGTAATCATATTAAAGAACAGCCTGGGTTATACTTATAGTCTACCTATTAATAGGACAGCCTCTTACCGACACCTACATTTTTTCTGCTGCTCCCAAATGATGACATACACTTTGCTGTTTTAATACGTAAACCAAATTCATAAGCAAGTAGATAAGCCCCAGATTCTTCTTGCAGACACTGAACATTGTGGTCCCATAAATGCAAGTTCCATCTCTGCCATCATTATCACAATAATTATTATTTAACAATTACCATTTTTGCATTTCCCTCTCTTGTACTGGGCTATCATTTCCAGGGACTGTTTCTCTTGATCATTCCTGTATCCCTAGCATTTAGTACAGATTCTGGCACAAAATTGTCACTCAATGAACATTTCTTGCGTAGATGAATGGGTTTGAATTCGGAGCTGTTGATTTGCTTAGAGAAGTACCTTTTGTGAAAATGTCCACATGTTGTAGGTAGAAACAGGAGGTGAAACACGTGGAAATGATCACAGAGGAGCTAAGTATGATGCAGAGACACAGCCCTGTTCACGACAGTGCCACACAGAGGTGGCCGGCTGGGCACTGGAGGGGGTCAGGGGCTGCCTGATTGTCAGAACTGTCAGTGGCCTGATGACCACACACATTGCTGCTGGGCAAATTCTTACCTGAGAATTTCTTCCATTTCCTGGAAACACAATTCAAAATCTATATAAATGCCTTGTTTTTCTGGCGTTGTCTAAGAACAAAGTGTTCCTTGGTTTGAAATTTTCCAGATGACTATTTGGAATTTTACTCATTTTGGTGAATTATGTTATATTTTCTTGAAAGTTAGGCTGAAGTTCACTTAACTCTTTCTAAAGACTCAGAGTCACCCTGTTGGCTAGCTCTTGAGAGCATCTACAGAATGGTTTTATGTATGCACATACTTTTTATGGCTTGAAGAATACTTATGCCCAGACCAGTTGTTTGTAAGTCCCCCTCTACCCTTGTGGTGTGACAATAGGAATGGGCAGTGGGAAGCAGCAAGCAGCAATGGGGTAGCGGTGTGCAGAGCCCGTGGCTATCTGTTTTGTAGACTGGTACTTCTTGGATGTTGTGTGAGCAAAGAATCCTGGTTTCATATATACTACCATGCATTACTTTAATTAATCTTCAAAGTGTTTTGCTCAGGCAAGTGGGGACTTATTTCTCTCTCCACTTTACAGGAACACAAATTGATTCAGTAAAGTTTATTTTTTTCTTATTTATTTGTTTGTTTATTTTTTGAGATGGAGTTTTGCTCTGTCGCCAGGCTGGAGTGCAGTGGCATGATCTTGGCTCACTGCAACCTCTGCCTCCTGGGTTGAAGAGATTCTCCTGCCTCAGCCTCCCGAGTAGCTGGGATTACAGGTGCACACCACCACACCTGGCTAATTTTGTATTTTTAGTAGAGATGGGGTTTCACCGTGTTAGTCAGTCTGGTCTCAAACTCCTGACCTCAGTTGGTCCACCCACCTCAGCCTCTCAAAGTGCTGGCATTCCAGGTGTGAGCCACCACGCCCAGCAATTCAGTAAAGTTTAGATTTACTTTGTGAGAAAACACATAGCTAAAGCAAACATTCGTGCAGGGCCTACTTCGTGCCAGGTGTGGTTTTAGGACCTTTATACTATGATTTTATTTCAACATTTTTAGCATCAGCAATCTCATTCTACTAGGTCATGGCAAAACTGGACTAAGAGCTGTGGCATTTTTCTCTGAATCCCATGTTCTTTTCAGAGGGATTACATTACTTCTACAAAATAACACTGTCTTAGTCAATTTAGTGTTGCTATAACAGAGTATCTGAGACTGGGTCGTTTAGAAAGAAATGAGGTCTATTGAGCTCATGGTTCTGCAGGTGGGAAATTTCAAGGGCATGGCGCTGGCTTCTGGCCAGGGCTTTCCTGCTGTGTCATAACATAACAGAAGGTCAAAACTGGGGTAGGCATGTGTGAAAAGGAAGGGACCAAGGAGGGTGACATGTTTTATACCAACCTACTCTTGAGGGAACTAATCCATCTCTGCAAGAACTAATCCAGTCTTGCAAGAGTAAGAACTCACTCACTATCCTGAGAACGGCACCAATTTATCGTGAGGAATCCACCCCTATGACCCAAACACCTCCCACTGGGCCCCACTTCCCAACACTGTCTCTTGCAATGAAACTTCCACATGGGTTTTGGTGAGGACAAGGCACATCTAAGTTGTAGAAAATACCCATAAAAAGCTTGAGAAAGCACATGGATGGATATACATGACTTTGTTTCACCATCTTTGCCCTTTTCTATTGATACAACGATGCTCTTGAGTCTAGAAAAAAGTGCTTCAGGCTGAACGGGTTTCAGATGGCTGTCCACTGGATTTCTGGTTTTACCTTTTATCTCTAATGGGCTCACCCCGCACCTACCTTAAGGCCAGGTTCATCACTGCAAAACACAAATCCAATTCCAAAACACTGGGAAGCAATCAGATTGGATTGTTCTTTTCTTAGGAAAAGAAAGCAAAAACTTACCCCCCCATAAGGCACCACTGCCTAAAACCATCTGTAAGCATTTCTGTCATTTCCTTGGAGGCTTGAGACTCACCTGTGAGAGGGAAAGCATCAACCTCTCCCACATACCCTTAGTTGCCCTAAACGATTCACCCCTGTGTTCCACCTTTAGTAAAAGAAAAGCACGGTGATTACCAGAATTCAGTGCAGAGCCATCCCTTAACAAGCAATGGTTAAGAAACAAGGGAGGGAAGGAAGAAAGGAAGAAAGGAAGGAAGGAAGGAAGGAAGGTAGGTGGGGGGGGGGAGGGAGAGAGAGAAGGAAGAAAGGAAGGAGGGAAGGGAGGGAGGGAAGGAAGGAAAGAAGGAAATGGAAGGAAGGAAGGAGAGAGGGAGGAAGGAAGGAAGAAAGGAAGGAAGGAAGGAGGGAGGGAGTGATGAAGGAAGGAAGGAAGAAAGAAAGAGGGTGGGAGGGAGGGAGAGAATGAAGAAGGAAGGAAGGAAGGCAGGGAAGGAGGGAGGGAAAGAAGGAAATGGAAGGAAGAAGAGAGGGAGGAAGGAAGAAAAAAATGGAAGAAAGGAAGGAGAGAGGGAGGGAGGAAGGAAGGAAGGAAGAGAGGGAGGGAAGGAGGGAGGGAGGGAGGGAGGGAGGGATCAGAAATCATAGCCAGTGAAACCCAGAAAACCGTTAGGCAGGAATTAGGACAATACCTTACTCAGGTTTGCATTCCCAGCATTTAGCACCATATGCATCATGCATCAAAAATGTTGTTGGGTGAATGCTGAGCAACAGCCACACACTGAATAAACCAGGCAGGTTGACGTCACAGGGGAGGGCACAGTGTTCCTGGACTCTGAGTGGGTGGCTATTTTTCATGCCAAGTCATGACAGTAGCATTCAGTGTGGTGGGTAAACACAGTCTTATGAATCTCACTTTTAAAAAACTGGAAGTGCTATAGATAAAAGCTTTCATAATTTTGAGATAATAATGGTAAAAATTATCATTTTTGCTTACTATTTGTGATGGTTAATATTGAGTGTCAACTTGATTGGATTGAAGGATGCAATGTATTGCCCCGGGGTGTCTGTGAGGGTGTTGCCAAAGGAGATTAACACTTGAGTCACTGGACTGGGAGAGGCAGACCCACCCTCAATCTGGGTGGGCACCCAGCTGCCAGCTCAGCTGCCAGTGTGGCTAAAATAAAGCAGGCAGAGGAACGTGGAAGGACTAGACTGCCTGAGTCTTCTGACCTTCATCTTTCCCCTGTGTTGGATGCCTCCTGCCCTCAAACATCAGACTCCAGGTTCTTCAGCTTTTGGACTCTTGGACCTACCCCCCGAGTGGTTTGCCAGGGGCTCTCAGGCCTTCGGCTACAGACTGAGGGCTGCATTATCAGCTTTCCTACTTTTGAGGTTTTGGGACTTTACTGGCTTTCTTGCTCCTCAACTTGCAGATGGCCTGTTGTGGGACCTCACCTTGTGATCATGTGAGTCAATACTCCTTAATAAACTCCCTTTCATATATGCATCTATCCTATTAGTCCTGTCCTTCTAGAGAATGCTAATACAATATTTTTAATTTTTATATCCCACAATAAAACTCAGAAGTAGTTAAGTCAGGCTTAAATGCAAGAGAACGGTTTATATTAATTATTGGCCATAACCAACAAAAAATTTCAGAAAAGTCAGTATCATCATGCTGCCTTTATCCAGCACTGACTTTGTTAAGCCTTCCAGAATCTGTCATGTATGAGATTCAACCTGAAATACATACACGCAACAGGTGCATCTTAGGGCTTTGAGGCCAACTGCAACTCATAGTTGCCAAGAACCACCAGCCCTGAGAAACACCTGAAGAAGAAGATTGGTTTAGTGTTTGGGTCCTTCTATGACCTTGAAGAAAGCACTGGGGAAGACATGATTGTGCCTTCACTGAGTAGCCCCACCAGCCATCACCACTTCATTTCTTACCCACCTTTGTAGTATACTCATTCCTAATTAAGAAGGCTGAGGCAGAGCCAAGGGTTAAGTTAACGCAAGGCTGGTACCTTTCCTAGGCTTGCCAGTCATTTGCACACAGAGAAGACCATAGGAAACTGAAAGAAGAACAGAGAGAGAGAATCTAGGTTTCCTGACAATGTAAATTACATCTTAGTATGAGAAGTTAAACAATATCCATTGTTTTGAACTATTTTTTCCCTTAAATCCACAGTGGTAAGTCCTTTCTCTTTCAAGGACTGTTGATCATCACAGGAAACCGGGACCATCCGGTCAAGTCAGGGCATCTCTGCTAATCTTTAAGTTTATAAACTGGTACAAGAAATAAATAAAGAACCTGAGTTGGAATTGCCGGTTGGTTTAGGCTTATCTTATTTGGAGAAAGTAATAAATTGATTATGCTTTAAGTGAACAGTGGGAAGCGATTGATGATTCAATAACTTTAAATTAAAAGAAGATTTACTGGAAAATTGGCAGTGCTGCAGCAGATTTGAGTCGTCTGTTAAGTAACAGTTAGTGCCACATGCCATGACAAATCCAGAAGCCAGTTTGTGGGGAAAAAAAAAAAAAAAAAAAAAAAAAAAGGGATCCTCTTCCCTGGATATATTTTACTTTTGAGCCCATGAAGAAGATTTGAAGCCAATGAAGAAGATTCGAAGGCACCTTTCAGAAAGGGAAGTGAGTGGGGGCAAAAGAAACCGCCACCATCTGCTGCCTCCCAGATACGATGATAAAAAATATGGCATATTGTTTAGAAGTAAGGACATTGCCCTTTTTCTTTTCTTTTCTTTAATTTTGATGTGCATCATTATGATTTCAAATAATGAAATATAAGTGGACTTTTAAGTTCTGTTTCTGGTCTGTTGAGGTTGACACGGCTCACTGAAAGTTCATATCTCTGGCAGGTACATGAGGGAAATACACACCCCTCCCAGGGATGATGGAAGGTTAAGGTCCTAACACCTCCTGCACATCTGAGCAGCTGCACATTGAACCAGATAGTCCTGGAATGTGGGAAAACAGAGGCAGACTCAAGAGTCTGGAACATTATTTTAGGATCACACAAAAAAGATACATAATTTTCATAGGTAAGTGTTGTTTTTTTGTTGTTGTTGGAAAAAAGTTTCTCACTAATAACTATCTAAAAGGGAAGTAATTAGGGTTTCAGGCGTTCTAAAAATAACTGTAAAGAGGGTTTTGTTTTGGTTTTGGTTCGTTCTGGTGTGCCTTACAGCTTTCCCTAAGGCAACACACTTACTGACCTATTGCTAGGGCAAATAGGTGGAAAAAAACAAGCTTTCCTCTCTCTGGAGAAAGGAAGGGTCAGGTGTAACACTGAAGTGACTCAAAAGTAGGGGAGCTTGTATCAGCTCTGGTCTGCACAATGATTCCCCTGCTCTTTACATAGAAAAAGAAGAAAGGAGGAGAAATCTCACAGCAATGTCCTTGATTTAACCGTACAAAAGGGCAGAAATGATTGATCGTTATTTTGCCGTTTGGGCTATTGTTCATTTAAATTTCATGTGCCAATTCTGACTGATTAGCAGTGGCTGCTTGGAGCATTGTGTGAGGAAGAACTCTCAGGCACATGGTGAGCACTCAGTTAGCACTTGCTGTATGTTGAATGAATGCCTGTCTTGGACACAGGGAAAGGAGTGGTACAACATGTGTTGCAGAGTTGCCTGGAGTTGACACCAAGAAAGATATTCTAAAGAGGAGAAGGTTAGGGATGAGAGACAAAGATGCATGCTAAGGTTGATGAGCTGTTCTCCTAACATAAAGCCTGATCTGGCCTTCGATTTCAGTACACATGAGTAAACTGTTAAAGGATGCTACATTAATTGGCCGTGTATATCTGAACTCTTGAAACAATGCATGCTCTTTGACCCTACCTCCGCCCCACAAGTCTAGTTCTAGCAATTTAACCTAAGGAAATAATGAGGATGTGAACAAAGCCTTAGCTACGGTGGTGTTTGACAGAAGCATTTCTTATTTATAAAAAAGAGAAACCCGTGCAAAGTAACTCAGGTTCAAAAAGAGGTTAACATAAGGCAGTATTTCTCAAATTTGGCCTGTTGACATTTGGGAACAGATAATTCTTTGTTGTAGGGGCTGTCCTGCACATTGTAGGATACTTAGCAACGTCCCTGGATTTTATCCACTAGATGCCAGTAGCAGCCCCTCACTAGCTGTGACAACCCTATACCTTCAGATATTGCCAAATGTCTCCTGGGAGGAGTGGGAAACCCAAACCACTCCCAAGTAAGGATCACTGGTATAAGGGTATAGAGCTCTGGCAATTCAAAAAAAGCTGAAAAACCAGGATTCAAAATCTGAAGAGCTGCAGCATCTTGAGTGCAATCATCTCTCTTACTCCCATTTCCCCTTCTGCTGACCTTGTTTGATTTATAGGACATAGATCTGCTCCATTCTAACTCTGAGTCTCTGCTCTTCATAATTGCAATGTGTACTTAGGGTAATAATGACACCGCACACATAACTTTATATGACCTTTCAGCTCAATTATCCGCCACCGACTGCTAACTTCTTTCTGCTTCTTAGTTTAAATTAAGAAAAGAGGTAGCTGATTGGTTCTACTCATTGTGAAAAGTCAGGTGAGAGGCCTTAGGTAACTGGCTGCCCAAGGATGATCTCTAACCTGCTCTGGGGCAGGTGTCCACCTCCTGCTAGGTCAGCTGTGAGTGGACAAATTGAAAGATTCCCTCAAAATGTCACTGATAATGTCGTTCATTGCAATATGTTTTTCCTGCTTCTTCACCTGCCTGGCAATTTTCGATTAGATGAGAGACATTGCAACTTTGCCTGGTTTAGAACACTGGATATTTTTATATTCCTCTGAATATTCTTGAGCTTTCTTCTGGGACGCAGCTAAGTTACTTGGAAACAGTTTGATCTTTTAGGCTAGATTAACACCCCTCTAGTTCCACCTGATAAGCCTAGTCTAGGGCTAATTGTTCCCTACTACCAGGGCAAGATCCTCCTAAACACTCTACCCAGTGTCCTGTGAATTAGGAAATTTTCCAACCTGGCTGGAGGAAATGGATACTATTCCCAGGCTCATGTGAGCTCCAGCTACAGTTCCACTAATCTTTTCATGTGGTTCTTTCTTCCAGAGAAAGAAAGACTCAGGTAGTTTCCTCACATGCATGCTCTGATCAGTGCTCTGCCAAACACTTGAGGAGGATGGCCTGCAGACATCCATAATCTTCTTTTATGCAGCTCTCTCCTTCCCAGTGCTCTCTGCTGTGAACTCTCACCACTCTGATCTCCCCAGACATCATCCTTAACAAGTCAGGGAGTCTGCCAGTTTCTGTCAGAGTTTTCCCTTCTTCACTGTGGTCTTGAATCCCTTTAAGACTACAAGCTGGGGCTTAGCTTTGTTTGTTCTCATCTCTTTCCTTTGATGACTGATGTCCGATGTCCAATATCCAATGTCTCAAAAACCATTGATTCATATTTTGTCTCATTTTTTAGTTGGGGGGGTGGTAAACCTGGCTTCTGTTATTTCATCTCATCTAGAAGCAAAATTTCACAATAGGTTTTTTATAATTAAAAACTGAAAGCAACCTAATAATTCTACCAAGAGAATTGTGTGTATATACAGCATTGTTAGAATGAAAATTCCATTCACATTATTGACAATCCTGTAGGTGAATGTTTATTGATATGTAAATATGTTTATAACCTATCATAAGTGAAAAAAATAAGTGTATGATCAGTTTATTTTGTGTATATATCCATAAATATATACATATACATATACATAAATATCATATTATAAATACCTACACATATACAAACATATACCCATATATATTAGTATTTATCTTTCTATATCTGTTTCTATAAATAATATATACATAAAAGTATACACATATCTATTATGTGCCATAATTCCTACAGAAATCCTCTTGAGTTGGTAAGTATTTTTCTCTCTGCTAATCTTTATTTTGTAATTTTCTACAATAAATAGGTAATATTTCATGATAATAAAATATATAAACATTATTTTGAATTTACTGTTAGTTGATATTCAGTAAAACTACATTACCATATATAATAAAAATCAAGAATAAAATTCTAATTTTAGTTTTATGCTTACTTAAATTTTTTATTTTTTTGAGATGGTGTCTTGCTCTGTTGCCCAGGCTGGAGTGCAGTGGCCCCATCTCGGCTCACTGCAACCTCTGCCTCCCGGGTTTATGCCTCAGCCTACCGAGTAGCTGGGATTACAGGCATGCACCACCATGCCCAGCTAATTTTTGTCTTTTTGTAGAGATGGGGTTTTACCAGGTTGGCCAGGTTAGTCTCGAACTCCTGGCCTCAAGTGATCCGCCCGCCTTGGCATCCTACAATGCTGGGATTACAGGCATGAGCCGCGTGCCCAGCCTTACTTAACATTTGAATACATTTATAAAAACCCTTTCTGATTTGAAACACTTAAATTAAGCACTCTAATAAAGCTTTGATAAACTATTACTGTGTTTCTAACATTGTGAAAATAATGTTTCTTTTCTATAGGGCTATTCATTACCATTAACTAAAGACTCATTAAATATTTGCTTTTAAAGTACTTTTAGGTTTTCTTCTGCACGCTTTCATTAAAATAAAATACGTGAATGAAGAACAAATGTAAAAGAAACTATGATCTTAATATATAAGCTCAGGCCATCTAAGGCAGCAATTACGAAAGGGAAGACTGATAGAAAAAGTAGGATGGAAGAGTGGGAGCATGGCCATTCTGTGGGCTTTAGAGAAGAACACATAACATTCTCTAGGGATTCGCCCCTCCGGTTCTCACTACTCAGCAGCCAGAGCTGATATTCTATCATCAAATAACTAAACAACTCACTCATTTATTTCTATGATACTTTTTTTTTATTATACTTTAAGTTTTAGGGTACATGTGCACAATGTGCAGGTTAGTTACATATGTATACATGTGCCATGCTGGTGTGCTGCACCCATTAACTCCTCATTTAGCATTAGGTATATCTCCTAATGCTATCCCTCCCCCCTCCCCCCACCCCACAACAGTCCCCAGAGTGTGATATTCCCCTTCCTGTGTCCATGTGTTCTCATTGTTCAATTCCCACTTTTAATCCTAGCAATTCTGTTTTTTCATCACTCCTCTTAGAACTGAAGAGAGATGTGTGCAGGTGTGTACATGCATGTTTGTGTGTACAAGTACACACTAGACACAGAGACACAATAACACATCACACATGCACACACACACTCATATACACATATGCACACACAAATCTGCAGGCACACACATA
The DNA here is from genome assembly GCF_000001405.40 of Homo sapiens. Classification (NCBI taxonomy): domain Eukaryota; kingdom Metazoa; phylum Chordata; class Mammalia; order Primates; family Hominidae; genus Homo; species Homo sapiens. The sequence continues at coordinate 6,785,702 of NC_000010.11, forward strand.
TCTACATACACATATGCACACAAAAATACACACACCACACACACACATTACACACATATGCACACAAAAATACACACACCACACATACACACATCACACACATACATATGCACACAAAAATACATGTACCACACGTGCACATATACATAGAAACATCACACACACACAAAACTATACTACAAATATACTACACACACACGCAGATACACATTCATTTCCCACACACACATATGCCCGCAAAATACACACACCACATGCACACACACATTACACATATAAATACCACACACACCACACACTACACACACATATATGCCCACCACTGCACATCACACGAATATACAGCACACACACACAAGCATGTGCAAACACACATATACATCGCACACAAACAAGTACACGCACACACCACACAACATCTAAAGGCTAGAAACCCCCATCTGTGCTGTGACAATGAACACAATCAGAGCTAGGTTTCTATTTACATCCCACTGAGAGAACATCGTCTGAATAGGGATTTTACAGACATTCCTCCAATAGCGTGCTCTGGGGGCGCACAGGGAAATATTTGGGGATAGTTACAGTGAAGCCAGTTTCAGCAGGCCTGTGCTCTGAACTGGGAAGGAAAGGGCAAGTAACAGAAATTCCAAATCAATGCATTTCCCTTCACCTGAGTAAGGGGCCCTGGAATCACTGGATGGGACATTGCGTCCGGGCTCTGATTAGAGCAGTTCATGTTATCTCCACGCCTTTGTTTCATCTTTCTACTACTTTAACAGCTTCCCCTCTCAATGGCCAAGACCCACTAAAAACAATCATCAGAAACAAACTTGTCAAATATATCTAGATGTACAAAGTTTTCCTTTGAGAAGGAGATAAGCCTCTTTCACAAGAGACAATAGGAATATTAAAAGAGAGTCCAAAAGCAAGCCACACGATGGCAGTGTGCGAAACGCTTGCATTTGTGCGTGGGCACGCGCAAAAGCTGTTCAGAAAAGAAGCCTGGGGGCCCTAGGGGGAGGAACTGAATTCTTTATGAAAGAGGGAAGACTTGAGCTGACCTTGAGATGCATTTTAAATCTTTCATTTTTTAAGAAAATATAATCGCATGGCAGAAAACTTTCAAAGTTCAGGGAAAAAATCACTTCATTGCAGCAGTCATTCTCTACATTCTTGGCAGGTTTATTCATAATAGCATGAAAGGAAAACAGCCCAAAGGTCCATGCGCAGCAAAAGGAATAAACAGATTAACAGTACAGTCACACGATGGAATACTAACTCCATAGCGCTAAAAAGGAATGAGTGGATACATACAGCAGCAGGGATTAATCTCAAATACATTAGGCTGAGTAAAAAAAGCCAGACCCAAAAAGTGCATTTATAGGAAGTTCAAGAACAGGCAAAACTAATCTATGGGGATAGGAAGCAAAATCATAGGTGCTGCTGATGTAGGAGACCCCCTGATAGACAGGGGCGCAGGGAACTTCCTAGAATTGACGCTGCATTCCAACTGGGGCATTGGGCAGGTAGTGTATACTGTTGTCAACACTCATACTGTGTGCACTTACGAGCTGAGCATTTTACAGTATGTAGTGTGTAATTATATCACCCCAAATAATTGAATCTATTTTCCTAAAACCTATTACTCAGTGATACTAGTGTTTCACTTGGAATCTATGCATTTTTTTCCTACAATTGAATGTTGATTATTCCAACCTGTACTGCAGACTTGGGGGAGCCAAAGACAAGCCTCTGCTTGATCTTGCTTTCAAGGTCTCTGAATTGAGATCAGACCTTCACGATTCATTCTGTGTGTTCACACAAGGGTAGGGAAAGAGCTCTGGATGGAAAGAGATATTCAAGTTCATGTTACTCTGCAGAGCTCCTGAATCAATGACTTGAGACTAGGCAAGAGAAAAAGAGTCAATAATCTAATAGGTTTACTTTTCTTCAATAAATGGAGGCCACTCTTGATAATAATGACCTCAACTCTATCCTTGTTATCCAGGAATAAAGTGCATCAGCTATACTCTTGAGTAAATGAAACCAGTCTATTGAAAATAATGAATAGAGGCTAGCATTTATTTACTTATTACTGAGCCAAGCAATTCACATGCATTAATCATTTAATCCTCACAATACTCTATGAGGCAGACAATATGAAGACTGTTTTTCCGAGCACAGAAAGGTTAAGTAACTTGCCTAAAGTTGCACAGCTAGTGAGAGGAGAAGCCAGAATCAATGCATTACTTGGAATGAGGACCAGGAAATGACAATGGAATATAGAGGGAAGCGGACAAATGGAAAATAAATAATTAAAACCTCTATTGGACAGGCAATTCAAAGAGACATTGGGTATTATCAAGCAAATACTCATTTGCAGACAATGAAACTGAGGCCCATGAAGGTTACGTGACTTCCCAAGTCATTCATCTAATTAGGAGAGAGCTGGGACAAGAAGCCATATTTTAAAAATCCCAGCTCAGGGCCTTTCTACTACATCAAAAAAAAAAAAAAAAAAAAATTAATTGATTTTTTTTTCACATAATGTCCAATTTTGAAATCTATCCCTGAGGGGATTGTTGGTTAGATATTCATAGTATTATAAAATTCAAGTCTTGGAAACGGCCTGGAAAGATCTTATGGCCGTTGGCTCCAAATTCAAGCAGCATCACACTTAAACCATCCCATCCAGATGAGAATCTTTCCCAGTTTTTAAAGTCTTCCAGATGTATCTCAACTGGATTTTTAAATCTGTTTTCCAGAGCAAAACAGCAGAATTTGGAAAATAACCTAATATGCATAAACCATGAATGGCATCCCCGGAGAGACACAAGCCCAAACCCTGAGCGTCCAGAGCATTTTAATTCGGGATGCAGTGCTTTAAAGCCCTAGGGATTATTTTCAGCAGAATTGACTCTATGAATATGAATTATTCTTCATGTCAGCCTTTTTTTTTTTTTTTCTGAGAAGGAAATCTGATACAAGATTGAATAGGAGAACAAGTAGCAGAATTTAGGGCAATATAAAAGGGCCCTGGAAGGCAGGTGAACACATTTTTCTTCCTTGCCCAGAAAAATGTCAATAGGCATTTTACAGCTTCTCCTTTTCTTTCCTTTGCATTCTGTCCTCACTGAAAATGCCCAGTTCACAGCCTGATATTCTTTGAGCGTTTTTCCATTCAAGTCCCAGTTAAGTGATCACTCCTGGGTCTCCAACTGGTTTCGGTCCCGAAGCTGTGTTTGCAGAGATGGAAGGATGCTTGTTGAAGTCGGGACGTCCAAGGGCCACATAAGTGAGGATCTAATTGCCGTGCCTTGTCTCAAGGAGTCTTGAGTTCATGATGTCTTATATTTCTTCATTACTTCCCAAAGCAAAACTTTGTACATCTAGACATATACGACAAGTTTGTTTTTTATGATTGTTTTAGTTTGTCTTGGCAATTGACGTGGGAAGTTGTTAATGCAGTAGACAGATGAAATAAAGACTTGGAGATTAGATGAACTGCTCCAATCAGAGCCTGGATGCAATGCCCTGTTGCCCTCTCTTTCAGATCTATCCAAAGTTAACTTGACTCCATCGACTGGCCCTTAATTTCTGCAGTTCTCTCAGTTCTGGGAATAACCTTATGATTGTTCTTCAGGTGGAGACCCTAGAAAACCTCCAGAGTTTGCTTTGATCCTCATACTCCACCTCCCAAGGAGGAATAAATTTGGAAGTGTATAATAAATCAAAGATAAATTTGGAAGCACATATGAAAAAGCTTTTATGGGACTTCTGCTTTTGAGTAAGATGGAGATATTGGTGACAGACTAATCCTGAAAATCAGAACAACTAGATGAAACAGATAAAATCCAAAAATTATCTGTTTTAAAGGTACCAAGGAGCTGTTGAAGCAATGTAGGTAGAGAGGCTGAAAGACAGCAAAGGGGAGAATCTGCACCAGCCTTTTATCCTGGGGCACTGTGGGTTCACTGTGAGTTCTGGGTGAGAACGAGAAGCTTGGCATCTAAACTCTACCCAAACCCCTTCTCAGCGGGCAGGATGCAGAGGTTTCAGCAGAGCTCAGGGAAGGTAGCCAGGATGTGCAACACAATAGGGCCTTCAACACAGGACCAGCTTCCCCCTCAAGACATTTGCTGAATTCTGAAGCTGCAAGGGAAGGACATAGGAAAGCTAAGCTGAGTACATCAGAAGAGCTGGGTCGAGTTTTCTGCAGTGTGACGATGCCTTGGAGACCCAGGTTAGAGTTCAGTTCCCAGGAGAGGCAGTGTTCCTGGGATGCACCAGCCTCAGTCAAAGCCCTGGAAGTTCATGTTGCCGGAAGAGGATCAGCCCAGAGGAGGCTTACCCAAACTGCAAATTAAAGGCAAAATAGTGAAAGCTTTCCCTCAAGTGGTGGAAAGAAATAAGGGTGCCTACTGTTTACCACTTCTAACCTACATGGTCCTGGAAGTCCAGGCCAGGGCAATAATGCAAGCCAACGTATAAAGGGCAGAATCATTGGAAAGGAAGAAAAAACTTACTAGACACAGATGAACTGTCTCTATATGAAGAAAAATCCAAAAGAATCTGCAAACAACTTAAATTTAATGTCTCTTTACGCAGTCTCCGCATGTAAGGTCAGTATAAAAAAATCACCTCTATATCTATAGACCTGCAACACAGAGAAAATAAAATCTTGCAATTGCAGGATTTGCAACAGCATCGAGGAATATTAAATACTTAAATAGAAATTTTAAAGAGGTATATGAGATTTGTGTTCTAAAGCCACAAAGCATCTCTGAGAGGGAACTCAAAGGGAGATCTAAATAAGTAGATATAGTAAATAAGTAGATCTAGGACATTTGTCAATCAGAAGACTCACTTGTAAACATGTCGACTCTTCCTACATGTATCCCCAGCCTCATGCAATCCCAGGAGATTACATGTGTGTGTATTTGTAAATTGACTCAAGTGATTACAAGATTTATATGAAAATGCAGTGAGCCAAAAATAGCCAGGAAATCTTAAGGAATAAGAGCGGAGAGCAGAGGAAGGCTTCATGGGCCGGGTAGGGGGGCGGGGAGCCTTGAGCTAAGCCGTTGGGTGCATGGGTGGTAAGTGGAATTTTGTTAGGGACTAGAACCATAACAAGTTTGTTGGGGTAACCCTAACACCTATCCTAATGCCTGCCTGATGCCTAACAAATATTCAATAAATATTGGTTAAATGTACATATGAATGAATGGACAGATGCTTGAGATAAGAGTATGTCAGGTTAAAAGGACAGTAGAAGCAACAGTAAAGAAACACGAAACTATCTTACAGTGAGGCATCAAATGTGTCCTAAGTGCGTATGTGAGCTGCAGAAGAAAGGGAGGCTAGAATATTCAGACAGGGCAGTGTTGTGCAGAGGTCTGAAGTAGGCTTGTAGCATTTGGACCTTACTCTTTAGGCATCTAACATTTTGGAACAATGTAAAATGAGTGATAGGTTGGGAGATGAATTGGGCCAGTGACAGGGGAGCCACATGACACCCACCCAGTCACTTCCCTGAAGGACACCCTCTTTGCTTTCTATATCCAGCACCAGCAATAAAATTGGAATTCTTTGCTAAGGTCATTGTTCATATATTTAATATAGAAATCTCCCCAAATGTTAAAAGCTGACAGACACTTAATTTAAAAGCCTAAGTACTCTCTGTCTGAGCCCTGACTATGCCAAAAGCAAAGCTTTTTGTGCTATCAAGAATTTGATGGGATTTCCTTTTTGCATTTCCTTTTCAAAAACCATTAGAACAGCCAGCACCATGCTCCTCTGGAGACCCTTACATTCTACCTTCATGAATTTTCTTGGTTAGGAACAGAGTGCATGAACTCTTTGGGTCTCTCTGTTAGGATGGGTTTCAGCTAACTGTACTTTAGTACAGTTAGTACCAGTGCTTTAATACACACAAGCTTACACTCACAACGAAGTCCAGAGCAAAGCAGTCTGTGATGATTATGGCAGTTTCATGCTGTCATCTCCTATGAGACAGCCCTGCCAGAAGGGCTGCTCACATCCTGATGGCTAGAACTGGTTACATGGCTGTGCTGGTTGCAACAAAAGCTGGAAAATGAAGTGTATTGATACTCCAAAAGAAGCAGAGTTTCGGTAATACAGAAGAATATTGGTGGACATTGAATAGGTCACCAGCAGTCATTGCTACATGATCCAGTCTTCCTTTCTAAAACAAGAACAATCTTGTAGAAAGCGGGAACTTTGAGACTTTCTTAGCTGAGAAATTTGTTGTTATTGTTGCTTTACAATCTCTCCTCCTCTCCTAAGAAGTTGTCCAAGGAAACTGGAGGTTCTTTGTTTCTTAAGCTGGTTGAAGATATAGTTTGCAAACCTGAACAGAACAAAATAACTATTCACCAGAAGAAGAAGAAAAAAAAAAGGCAGGTGGAGGTGGGAAGGAATGTAGGCAAGATCAACCAAATCAATAAAAGAACTAATACCCATAAAGTAAAATGAGCAATGGTCTTGAATACATATTTCACAGAAGAATACAAATGGCTTCAAATTATGGTAAAATTGGATACCAGATAACTGTGCTTTTAAAAATCAAACTGGGAAATATTTAAATTATGATAATACTCAGTACTAGTGAGCTTGTGGCTTGGGAGAATAATTAGTAGAGCTTTTATGAAAAATCATTAAATGTATATATAAAGAGTCTTAGTAAAATGTTTGTTATTAGATCAGAAATTTACCATCTAAAGAAACTTACCGAATATGTGATGTTTTCACAGATCATGAAATTGAAGGGTACAAAAAAAGAACTTCTATTTTTCTGTGACTAAATGTCGATTTCAAGTTCTCATACCTCCTGGAGTTAAAAAATAAGATCCAGTCAATTTCAGTGAAAACCTGTTACTTCTGCTTTTCAGTGATTTGGGCTTTACACTCACAGATCTGAGAGTCTCTCTTGCCCCCCTGGTAACACATTTCAGAGCTGGAGAAAGAGAGGGAGAGGATGGGGGTTTGGACATGGCCCATGTTCATCTTCCCAGTATTCTCTGACAGTCAGCATTCTCCCTGCTGACTTGGGCGGATATGCCATGTCCAGTTGGGTCCTCACCATTCCTGGTGGCCTCACCTGAGCTGAAACAGCATCTCTCCTGGGCCCCAGGTGAAGGGTCCATCATGCCTTGTGCTCTGGCCTCCTGCTGCCCCATGTGGAGTGGTCCTTTGCACCTGCCGGCTCAGTCTCTCTCAGCCACCCTGTGTCTCCTTGAGGCAGGGGGAGACTCAGGCGCAGTCATAACCCTCTGAAGTGCTAGGACTCCATGCTGCCATGTAAAATACACATTTCTCTATTTTTTGGGCTCCCAAAATAGAACTAAGGTTGGGATGGGGTAGTATCTGTACTATGTTTCAAACACACACACATACACACACACACACACACACACACACACACACACACACACACGGAGGAAGTTTCTCCCTCAAAGACCCAAAACTAGCAAGAGGTACCAGTGATGGGTCTTTTGAAGGGGATGTCATCTGCCCGTCACCAAACTGGGACACTTAACTGTTTTGGTGTCACGGGCCCCTTTGGTGGCCTGATGAGCCCTGTGAGTTCCTTTTCAGAAACAATGTTTCAGATACATAAAATAAAATACTTAGGAATATAATGGGAAACAAATTATCTTGAAATTTTGGTCTCTTTACAAACACCAGCTTAAGAACCCTTGCTTCCAATCTTTTCTTTATAACATGAAATCTATGCCTCAATTCCTTATAGGTTTAATTCTTTGAATGCAAAGCAAAAAGAAAAATTTTTCTGTTTTTTAAAAAAGTCTGCTCCTGTCAACCAAAAACATAGATTTTCAGGATTACGTCTCTGTTATGAGTTTTAAAACTCAAAAAGTAAAACTTTGGCGCTCTCTCTCCTCTCTCTTTCTTGCTCTCTCTCTCTCTCGTTTTGATCTTTCTCTGTGATGAAATCTTCCTTTTTTGATGTTGGCAAAAAAAAGGGGGAGGGACATTGGATAATTTGAAGGACAAGAAAATCTTTAAAAATATTTTACCCCATGTTATAAGTGCACAGGAATATTTATGTACAAAAATATTAATTGCATCATTATTTTAAATTAATAAGAAATTAGAAAAAATATAACATAAGAGGATGGTTAAATAAATGAGAGCACGCCATATGACAGAATATTATTTAAGGCCATTTAAAATGATGCTGTCATGATTTTTTCTATCGCATAGGAAAATATTTTTGATCCAAAGTTAAATGTCAAAAAGTAGGGTTCAAAATGATAGATGTAATATGACCCAAAGAGAGCGAAGAAGAGAAAAGAAAGCAATAGGAAAAATGCTAAAAAAAAATAATACCACATTACAGGGATTTTCTCTGAATGAGAAATATTGCTTTAAGCTTTTCTAAATTTTTAAATGTAGTGTAATTTTCTTCCAAATTAATTTTTTTTCTCATTATCATATTCCTCCTATACTTTGAAAAAAAATTTTAAATAAAGAAAATTTGCCGGAAAGTTGACATTTTAAAACTTTAAAACTTCCAAAGGTAGTTTCTAACAGGCAGCTATTATGTTAAATACCCAACAAAAGTTGCCACAAATTGCTATCTTGAAAAAAAAAAAAGACTAAAATGATGACCTCTGATTTATTTCCATGCTCCAAGTCAAACCTTGCCCACACGTGCCGTGTGGGGTTCTGGGGAGTGCGTCTGGCCGTGGTACAGGAGGCCCCAGCACAGGTGCCATCTGATGCCAGCCCAATTACCGCTTCTGAGTGTTGCAAACTACAGAAACTACACTTCGCTGTTTTCCTCCACCTCAAAATATGTACACACTAAACATTATTATGCAGCTATTTCCTACCGGAAACTCAGATCAGAATCAAATTTTAGCAGAAACTACTTTCAATACCAGATTTGGGTGTGTCCATCCCGGCAGTTCTGCACCTAGCACGGGAGTAAGAGTCACCCACGTGGGTGGAGGTTTATCCACTCGTCTAAAACATTCCCACTGGAATCGATCACAAATAGAAGAGGGTTTTTCGTAGCTGGAATTTGGTGAAGCAGGCTAGGGCACCCACATCTTTCCTTCAATTGGAATGAAAAAACTTGTGTGCATTTTCGAAGATCTTTGAGGTTAAAATGAGTTGATTTCATCTTAAGAAGCCAATGTCACCCAAAAGAAAATGAACAGTGTTTACGGTTAAAACCATCAGAACAAGATCACGTCTTGTGCAGGAACATGGATGAAGCTGGAGGCCATTATCGTTAGCAAATGAATGCAAGAACAGAAAGTCAAGTGCTGCATGTTCTCACTTGTAAGTGGGAGTGAAACGATGAGAACTCCTGAACACAAAGAGGGAAACAACCGGCACTAAGGTCTGCTTGATGGGGGAGGGTGGGAGGAGGGGGAGGCGCAGAAGGGTGGGAGGAGGGGGAGGCGCAGAAGGGTGGGAGGAGGGGGAGGCGCAGAAGGGTGGGAGGAGGGGGAGGCGCAGAAGGGTGGGAGGAGGGGGAGGCGCAGAAGGGTGGGAGGAGGGGGAGGCGCAGAAGGGTGGGAGGAGGGGGAGGCGCAGAAGGGTGGGAGGAGGGGGAGGCGCAGAAGGGTGGGAGGAGGGGGAGGCGCAGAAGGGTGGGAGGAGGGGGAGGAGCAGAAAAGATAACTATTGGGTACTGGGCTTAATACCTGGGTGATGAAATAATCTGTACAACAAACTCCTGTGACATGAGTTTACCTATGTAACAAACCTACACATGTACCCCTGAACCTAAACTAAAAGGTAAAAACCCAACCAACCAACCAACCAACCAACCAACCTAACAACCAAACAAACAAACAAAAAAAACACCATCATCCCCATCACCCACATTCTCCTAAGCTTTGTTCAGGAGTTTCACGAAAGTTAAGAGAGAAAGTTTCTAGATTTAGTTTCCCCAAACCTTTTAGGAGACACAGTACAGAGCTTTCTGCCCTTTGCTGAAATACAGGCAGAGGAGGTGTTTTTGGCAAATGGACAACCCTTCACAAAGGGTTTCTTGTGGAGCCGTGAGGCTTTATGCAAGTACACTGTGTGGTACGGAGAGGGTGGCAGCTCATCTTGTGTCATTTTTCCAGTCTGCGTTAAGTTCGTCTTTTCCTGTTTAGTGGTTCCATGGCCTGAGTGAGAGGTGGGAGGTGGATCTATATTTTCTCTTTTCCCTTGTACTCTGCCCGTTCCACAACAAGGATGACATTTGTCTTCTCCTTTATGGATGCAAATAATTCTTTGTCGCAGACAGGTGGATGACTGTTTTGTTCAAATCTTCATGTTTTTAAATAAAATAAGTGTATTGATCATGCCTCTATTTTCTGTATTTCTGATGCCTTGACATCTGAGGCCTTTCTGACCCTGAAGGGCCTGCCCTTCTTGGGGTTAGCCAATTCCTAGGAAGAGCAAATAACTCCCCTGTGTGTGTACTTTTTATATGGAACCAACCGATCCAGAGCCCTTTCCCCAACCATCTCCATAATCTCTCCCATTCAGGGCCACCTCCCCTGCCCTAATCACCCCAGGTCCAGATAACAACTAGGTGCCACGTCCATGCCCCAGAGCCTGCTGAAATTATTCACACTAGCAGATCCTAAGCCTGCTCACCCTGGTTCCCCCATTCCTTCCACGGAAGCCACAATAGAGGCTGTGGCCGTGCTTACTCTTCACTCCATTTGCCTCCTGACTCCCCATGTGGGCTCCCATGGTGTGACATGCCCCTCCTCCTGGGAACTGTGAGTGACAAACCATCTTTCCAATGGCAGTCATCTTCTGACCTGTGCCTCACCATACCTGGATAATGGTAAAACCTACATGTTAAAACTAGCCTATTAGAGTGGCTGGTATAGTTCCCAGTCAGTAACAGGTGCCAAGTAAATGGTACTTATATCTTTCCTCCAACAGTGTATGTAGGAGTACTGGTGACATTTCCCTTCTCTCCCCAAGCCCCACCCCTTGCATGAATTTTTTAAAATTGCATTCTCCAAGCTCTGTGACTCTGCCTTCTGTGCCCAAGTTCACCATACGAAGTAGGAAGGATGCAGCCTCCTTCTCAAAACACTAATTTTCCCAACTGCAAAGGTACCAAAAGCTGTTTTCATCCTCCAAAAGTCCTCCTCGAAGGTTTAAAACCCTGGGACTGGCCAGATAGCCCTGAGTTGTCTTCATCATAAATTAAGACCTAATAAGATTTGGATGGCATCAAACTATCACTCACGTGATTCAGAAAAAGGGACTCAGAGAGAAGAGCACTTGGGGAGAATGAGAGGCCAGGAGAGGAGAGGATTTTGCAATGGTGGCTTGGAACTGGCCAGGTATCCTTGGTTTAAAAGTTGGTTTCATGCGCGTCCGTGTGAAGAGACCACCAAACAGGCTTTGTGTGAGCAACATGGCTGTTTATTTCACCTGGGTGCAGGTGGGCTGAGTCCGAAAAGAGAGTCAGTGAAGGGAGATGGGGGTGGGGCCGTTTTATAGGATTTGGGTAGGTAAAGGAAAATTACAGTCAAAGGGGGTTTGTTCTCTGGCGGGCAGGAGTGGGGGTTGCAAGGTGCTCAGTGGGGGTGCTTTTTGAGCCAGGATGAGCTAGGAAAAGGACTTTCACAAGGTAATGTCATCACTTAAGGCAAGGACCGGCCATTTGCACTTCTTTTGCGGTGGAATGTCATCAGTTAAGGTGGGGCAGGGCATATTCACTTCTTTTGTGATTCTTCAGTTACTTCAGGCCATCTGGGCATATACGTGCAAGTCACAGGGGATGTGATGGCTTGGCTTGGGCTCAGAGGCCTGACATTCCTGCCTTCTTATATTAATAAGAAAAATAAAACAAAATAGTGTTGAAGTGTTGGGGCAGCGAAAATTTTTGGGGGGTGGTATGGAGAGAGAATGGGCGATGTTTCTGAGGGCTGCTTCAAGTTGGATTAGGGGTGGCTTGGGAACCTAGAGTGGGAGAGATTAAGCTGAAGGGAGGTCTTGTGGTAAGGGGTGATATTGTGGGGATGTTAGAAGAAACATTTGTCATATAGAATGATTGGTGATGGCCTGGATACAGTTTTGGATGAATTGAGAAACTAAATGGAATAACAGAAGGAGAAAAACAGGTATAAAAGGTCTAAGAATTAGGATAACTTAGGATATCTGATTAGAGAGTGCCTAAGGAGATTCACATAGTCCTGCCAGCAAAGATTATTTATTTACTTCAAGAGTTAAGAGTGGCAGTTTGGGGATAGCACCAGGAGATATCAGCTGTGATGGCTTGGAGAAACAGTGTAAACAGGCAGTGTAAACAAGAGCAGGGCATGTATGAGTAGTTGAGAACGGTGAATAGGAGTATGACAAGACAGAAGATAGTAGGGATGTCAAGTTTTTTGGGGCACAGTCTAAGTTGGTCTGGTGTCTAGAATGAGACTGGGGCCTAATAAAAAGGAGCATCTATACAGGAGCTTAAATGGGCTGTACCCTGTAGCATTCTGAGGACAGGCCTGAATTCTGAGAAGGGAAAGTGGTAAAAGTATTGTCCAGTCCTTTTTGGTGGCTGAGCTTGGTGAGGTGTGTTTTTAAAAGACCTTTAGTCCATTCTACTTTTCTTGAAGACGGAGGACCATAAGGGATATAAAGGTTTCACTGAATACTAAGAGCCTGAAAAACTGCTTGGCTGATTTGACTAATAAAGGCTCATCTGTTATCAGACTGTATTGAGGTGGGAAGGCTAAACTGAGGAATTATGTCTGACAGAATGGAAGAAATGACTGTGGTGGCCTTCTCAGACCCTGTAGGAAAGGCCTGTACCTATCCAGTGAAAGTGTCTACCTAGACTAAGAGGTATTTTAGTTTTCTGACTCAGGGCATGTGGAGTAAAGCTAATTTGCCAGTCCTGGGTGGGGCAATTCCTCGAGCTTGATGTGTGGGGAAGGGAGGGGGCCTGAATAATCCCTGAGGAGTAGTAGAATAGCAGATGGAACACTGAGAAGTTATTTTCTTGAGGATAGATTTCCACGATGGAAAGGAAATGAGAGGTTCGAAGAGACGGGCTAGTGGCTTGTACTATAGCATAACCTGCCTTTGCTGGTGTGTGGCGATTAGGCCTGGTGGAACTGCCATCAATAAATCAAGCGTGATCAGGGTGAGGAACAGGAAAGAAAGAAATTTGGGGAAATGGGGTGAATGTCAGGTGGATCAGAGAGATACAATCATGGGGGTCAGGTGTGGTATCTGGAATAATGTGGGAGGCCGGATTGAAGTCTGGGCCAGGAACAACAGTAATTGTGGGAGGCTCAACAAAGTGTGAGTATAGCTGAAGGAGCCAGGAAGCAAAAAGTATATCCATCAGGTATGAGGAAGAAAATAGATTTTGGAAGTTATGAGAACTGTAGAGAGTGAATTGAGCACAGTTTGTGATTTTGACGGCCTCTAAAAGTATTAAAGCAGTGGCAGCCGCTGCACGCAGACATGAGGGCTAGGCTAAAACAGTAAGGTCAAATTGTTTGGACAGAAAGGCTGTAGGGTGTGGTCCTGGCTCTTGTATAAGAATTCTGACTGCGCTAATCATGCCTAGGAAGGAAAGGAGTTGTCGTTTTGTAGAAGGTGCTTGGGTTTGAGAGATCAGTCGGACACGATTGGCAGGGAGAGCACGTGTGTTTTTATGAGAATTATGCAGAGATAGGTAACAGATGAGGAAGAAATTTGGGCTTGATTGAAGTAATGGGGGCTGTCTGTGAAGCTTTGCAGCAGTACAGCCTAGGTAATTTGCTGAGCTTGATGGGTGTCAGGGTCAGTCCAAGTGAAAGCGAAGAGAGGCTGGGATGAAGGGTGCAACGGAATAGTAGAGAAAGCATGTTTGAGATCTAGAACAGAATAATGGGTTGTAGAGGCAGGTATTGAGGATAGGAGAGTATATGGGTTTGGCGCCATGGGGTGGATAGGCAAAACAATTTGGTTGATAAGGCGCAGATCCTAAACTAAATTGTAAGGCTTGTCTGGTTTTAGGACAGGTAAAATGGGGGAATTGTAAGGAGAGTTTTTAGGTTTTAAAAGGCCATGCTTTAGCAGGCGAGTGATAACAGGCTTTAATCTTTTTAAAGCGTGCTGTGGGATGGGATATTGGCATTGAGTGGGGTAAGGGTGACTAGGTTTTAATGAGATGGTAAGGGGTGCATGATCGGTCACCAAGGAGGGAGTAGAGGTATCTTATACTTGTGGGTTAAGGTGGGGGGATACAAGAGGAGACGCAAAGGAGGCTTTGGATTGGGAAGAAGGGTGGCAATGAGATACAGCTGTAGTCCAGGAATAGTCAGGGAAGCAGATACTTTAGTTAAAGTGTCTCAGCCTAATAAGGGAACTGGGCAGGTGGAGATAACTAAAAGGAGTGCTTAAAAGAGTATTGTCTAAGTTGGCACCAGAGTTGGGGAGTTTTAAGAGGTTTAGAAGCCTGGCCGTCAATATCCACAACAGTTATGGAGGCAAGGGAAACAGGCCCTTGAAAAGAAGGTAATGTGGCGTGGGTGGCCTCCGTATTGATTAAGAAGGGGACGGGCTTACCTTCCCTGTGAGAGTTACCGGAAGCTCGGCGTCCGTGATGGTCTAGGGGGCTTCCGAGGCGATCCGGCAGCGTCAGTCTTCAGCCGCTAAGCTGAGAAGATCTGGGAAGGAGTCAGAGAGCCTTGGGCCAGAGTTCCAGGGGCTCTGGGAGTGGCTGCCAGGTGAGTTGAACAGTCCGATTTTCAGTGGGGTCCCACACAGATGGGACACAGGTTAGGAGGAATCCCGGGCTGTGGGCATTCCTTGGCCCAGTGGACAGATTTCCAGCACGTGTAGCAAGCTCCTGTGGGAGGAGGTTCTGGAGGAACGCCTGGCTACTGTGGTTCAGGCGTTTGGAAGTTCTTGGGTGCTGGAGATGTGGCTGGGGTTTGTCTCACAGTGGAGGCAAGGAATTGCAACTTTTTTCTATTATTGTACACCTTGAAGGCGAGGTTCATTAAATCCTGTTGTGGGGTTTGAGGGCCGGAATTTAATTTTTGGAGTTTTATTTAGTGTCGGGAGCAGATTGGGTAATAAAATGTATTTTAAGAATAAGACGGCCTTTTGACCTTTTAGGGTCTAGGGCTGTAAAGTGTCTCACGGTTGCTGCCAAACAAGTCATGAACTGGGCTGGATTTTTATATTTGATGAAAAAGAGCCTAAACGCTTCTGATTTGGGATAAAGAAAAAGGAGCATTAACCTTGACTATGCCTTTAGCTCCAGCCACCTTTTTAAGAGTAAATTGCTGGGCAGGAGGGGGAGGGCTAGTCACTGAACAAAACTGTAATCCGGACCAGGTGTGAGGAGGGGAGGTGATAAAAAGATTATAGGGTGGAGGAACAGAGGCTGAGGAAGATTTGGGACCTAGCTCGGCCTGGCAAGGAGCAGCCTGGGGAGGAAGGGAGAGGTCAGATGGGTCTGTAGAAAAGGAAGATTAGAAAGACTCAGTGACGCTTGGGGTTGGTACTGAGGGGACAGGCGGGAGGGAAAGAAGGAAGATTTGGGATGAGTTGCACTGGGCACAGACTAGGAAGGGACTGATGTATAAAAGAATGCCTGGACGTCAGGCACCTCAGACCGTTTGCCTATTTTACAACAAGAATTATTTAGATCTTGCAGGATGGAAAAATTCAAAGTGCCATTTTCTGGCTATTTGGAACTACTGTCGAGTTTGCATTGGGGTCAAGCGGCATTGCAGAAGAAAATAAGGCATTTAGGTTTTAGGTCAGGTGTGAGTTGAGGTTTTATGTTTTTGAGAACACAGGCCAAGGGAGTAGAAGGAGGAATGGAGGGTGGAATGTTCCCATAGTGAAGGAAGCAAGCCTAGAGAGAAGAGAGAGTAGAGAAATGGAGGGAAGGGATTCAGGGGTTCTTACCTTCCAGAAAAGTGGGAAAAGGGGTTTGGGTGCAGAGATAAGAAGTCAGGGCATGGAAATAAGGGATGGGGCACAGAAATAAGAGGTCAGGGCATGGAAATAAGGGATTGGGGTGCAGAGATATGAGGTTGGGGTACTTGCCCATCCTCTAGAAAAGCAGGACTTGCCACTAAGAGTGAAGGAGAAGGGGTTGAGGAGTACTTGCCCCTCTCCCAGAAAAGCAGAGAAGGGATAGAGACAAGGAGAGAAGGGGTTGGGGTACTTGCCCTGTCCCCAGAAAAGCAGAGAAGGGGTAGAGACAAGGAGAGAAGGGGTTGGGGTACGTGCCCTGTCCCCAGAAAAGCAGAGAAGGGGTAGAGACAAGGAGAGAAGGGGTTGGGGTACTTGCCCCTTCCCCAGAAAAGCGGAAATTGCCGCTAAGGGTGAAGGACCAAGGCAGGCGTCCCTGCGTGGTCTGACACCCTTGAAACGTGGGTGTATAATCAGAGAGGCGTCCCTGCAATGATTAAACACCAAGGGAAGGCTGCCTTCCCAGTCCATGACCAGCACCAGAGTTTTGGGTCCACAGATAAAACATGTCTCCTTTGTCTCTACCAGAAAATGAAAGGAATTGAAATTAAGAGAAGGGAGAGATTGAAGTGTGGCACCAAGATTGAAAGGAGAAAGAGGTTGAGGGATAGTGAGGGAGGTTGGAGAAGAGAGTAAAAAGAGGCCGCTTACTGGATTTAAAATTGGTGAGATGTTTCTTGGGCTGGTCGGTCTGAGGACCTGAGGTCGTAGGTGGATCTTTCTCATGGATCAAAGAGCAGGAGGACAGGGGATTGATCTCCCAAGGGAGGTCCCCCGATCCGAGTCACGGCACCAAATTTCATGCGCATCCGTGTGAAGAGACCACCAAACAGGCTTTGTGTGAGCAACATGGCTGTTTATTTCACCTGGGTGCAGGCAGGCTGAGTCCGAAAAGAGAGTCAGTGAAGGGAGATAGGGGTGGGGCCATTTTATAGGATTTGGGTAGGTAAAGGAAAATTACAGTCAAAGGGGGTTTGTTCTCTGGCGGGCAGGAGTGGGGGTTGCAAGGTGCTCAGTGGGGGAGCTTTTTGAGTCAGGATGAGCCAGGAAAAGGACTTTCACAAGGTAATGTCATCACTTAAGGCAAGGACCGGCCATTTACACTTCTTTTGTGGTAGAATGTCGTCAGTTAAGGTGGGGCAGGGCATATTCACTTCTTTTGTGATTCTTCAGTTACTTCAGGCCATCTGGGCATATACGTGCAAGTCACAGGGTATGCGATGGCTTGGCTTGGGCTCAGAGGCATGACAGTTGGGCTCAGTCACCCAGAATCCATTCTTTCAACAAGTGTTTGTGTCCTGCACAACCCAAGGAAATTGGGATACAGCAATGAACGAAAGACACAGAGCTCTTTCCCTTAAGGTGTCAAATACTATGGAAAAAATAAATAGTGCAGCCCAGTAAGGTGGATCAGAAGTGTGGGTGTGCGTTTGTGTGTGTTGGAAGGTGACTGGGGCTGGAGGGCAGAGACTGCAATATTTGCAGAAGGAGTCAGGGTGGGCCCTTAGAGAAGTTGAGGTCTGCATTGAAGGAGTAGAAGTTGGCAAGCCTGGAGAATGAAACCACCAACATGAAGCCTTTGGGTTGCCAGTCATGTGCCATGCCTTCTCTCTCTACCCTACTCCCTCCTGCTTATTTAATCATTATTTACTCTTTGTCCACAAAGCAAATGTTATTTTAAAAAGACTATTCCATAAGACTTCCAGTATACAATAGTTTAGACTCTACAAATTTCAGAGATGGGTGAAGAACATCTAGTCTAAGGGTTTGCAAACATACTTTTTAAAGCTTAGAATCATTTGTTTAAATGAAAAAGAAACTCTAAAGGGAAATGTAAACAAGGCAAATGGGACCACCCTGGGTGAAGCTCAGTCCCCCCACATACCACCACTCCCAGGGCAAACCGTAAAGGTGCTCCTGGGAGGGCATGTGAAAAGCTGGATTTATTCTAAACTCATCTATCTATAAGAAAATTGACACCCAAACAGGGCAGATGACTTGTCCAAGGTCTCAGAAAACATAACCCCAGGCTTCTTGTCTACTTTTTTCTCCTTCCACCAAGAAATGCCATCCCTTGCATTTAAAATTTATATGAATTTTGCAGATAGAAGCAATAGTCCTCATAGCAAGCCACTTACTTATTTCAAAATACTGAAATTTTGCACTGCAGTTTTTTTATTAGAGTTTTATGATTCTAATCATTCTTAGCTTTTAATCATTTATATGATAAATATTTCTATCTTTCCGTGTGAGAATTAATTCTTTCCAATTTAGCCTCATGGAACTTCCTTCTGATATTGGTAAATGATTGAAAAAAAGTTCTTGATGGTTTTAAACTCCCTAGTTTTTAAAAATATATTCAGCATTTAAATGATTGATCAGTAATGTGCAGAATAGAATTAGAGATGTGCAGAAAACTTTTTTTTTGGTGGTGTTGTTCTTTTTTAATTTTTTTAATTATACTTTAAGTTTTAGGGTACATATGCACAATGTGCAGGTTAGTTACATACGTATACATGTGCCATGCTGGTGTGCTGCACCCATTAACTCGTCATTTAGCATTAGGTATATCTCCTAATGCTATCCCTCCTCCCTCCCCTACCCCACAACAGTCCCCAAAGTGTGATGTTCCCCTTCCTGTGTCCATGTGTTCTTATTGTTCAATTCCTACCTATGAGTGAGAACATGCGGTGTTTGGTTTTTAGTCCTTGTGATAGTTTACTGAGAATGATGATTTCCAATTTCATCCATGTCCCTACAAAGGACATGAACTCATCATTTTTTATGGCTGCATAGTATTCCATGGTGTATATGTGTCACCTTTTCTTAATCCAGTCTATCATTGTTGGACATTTGGGTTGGTTCCAAGTCTTTGCTATTGTGAATAGTGCCGCAATAAACACACGTGTGCATGTGTCTTTGTAGCAGCATGATTTACAGTCCTTTGGGTATATACCCAGTAATGGGATGGCTGGGTCAAATGGTATTTCTAGTTCTAGATCCCTGAGGAATCGCCACACTGACTTCCACAATGGTTGAACTAGTTTACAGTCCCACCAACAGTGTAAAAGTGTTCCTATTTCTCCACATCCTCTCCAGCACCGGTTGTTTCCTGACTTTTTAATGATCGCCATTCTAACTGGTATGAGATGGTATCTCATTATGGTTTTGAATTGCATTTCTCTGATGGCCAGTGATGATGAGCATTTTTTCATGTGTCTTTTGGCTGCATAAATGTCTTCTTTTGAGAAGTGTCTGTTCATGTCCTTTGCCCACTTTTTGATGGGGTTTTTTTTTTCTTGTAAATTTATTGGAGTTCATTGTAGATTCTGGATATTAGCCGTTTGTCAAATGAGTAGGTTGCGAAAATTTTCTCCCATTTTGTAGGTTGCCTATTCACTCTGATGGTAGTTTCTTTTGCTGTGCAGAAGCTCTTTAGTTGAATTAGATCCCATTTGTCAATTTTGGCTTTTGTTGACATTGCTTTTGGTGTTTTAGACATGAAGTCCTTCCCTATGCCTATGTCCTGAATGGTAATGCCTAGGTTTTCTTCTAGGATTTTTATGGTTTTGGGTCTAATGTTGAAGTCTTTAATCCATCTTGAATTAATTTTTGTATAAGGTGTAAGGAAGGGATCCAGTTTCAGCTTTCTACATATGGCTAGCCAGTTTTCCCAGCACCATTTATTAAATAGAGAATCCTTTCCCCATTGCTTTTCTCAGGTTTGTCAAAGATCAGATAGTTGTAGATACGTGGCGTTATTTCTGAGGGCTCTGTTCTGTTCCATTGATCTGTATCTCTGTTTTGGTACCAGTACCATGCTGTTTTGGTTACTGTAGCCTTGTAGTATAGTTTGAAGTCAGGTAGTGTGATGCCTCCAGCTTTGTTCTTTTGGCTTAGGATTGACTTGGCGATGCGGGCTCTTTTTTGGTTCCATATGAACTTTAAAGTAGTTTTTTCCAATTCTGTGAAGAAAGACATTGGTAGCTTGATGGGGATGGCACTGAATCTATAAATTACCTTGGGCACTATGGCCATTTTCACGATATTGATTCTTCCTACCCATGAGCATGGAATGTTCTTCCATTTGTTTGTATCCTCTTTTATTTTGTTGAGCAGTGGTTTGTAGTTCTCCTTGAAGAGGTCCTTCATGTCGCTTGTAAGTTGGATTCCTAAGTATTTTATTCTCTTTGAAGCAATTGTGAATGGGAGTTCACTCAAGATTTGGCTCTCTGTTTGTCTGTTATTGGTGTCTAAGAATGCTTGTGATTTTTGTACATTGATTTCATATCCTGAGACTTTGCTGAAGTTGCTTATCAGCTTAATGAGATTTTGGGCTGAGGCAATGGGGTTTTCTAGATATACAATCATGTCATCTGCAAACAGGGACAATTTGACTTCCTCTTTTCCTAATTGAATACCCTTTATTTCCTTCTCCTGCCTAATTGCCCTGGCCAGAACTTCCAACACTATGTTGAATAGGAGTGGTGAGAGAGGGCATCCCTGTCTTGTGCCAGTTTTCAAAGGGAATGCTTCCAGTGTTTGCCCATTCAGTATGATATTGGCGGTGGGTTTGTCATAGATAGCTCTTATGATTTTGAGATACGTCCCATCAACACCTAATTTATTAAGAGTTTTTAGCATGAAGGGTTGTTGAATTTTGTCAAAGGCCTTTTCTGCATCTATTGAGATAATCATGTGGTTTTTGTCTTTGGTTCTGTTTATATGCTGGATTACATTTATTGATTTGCATATATTGAACCAGCCTTGCATCCCAGGGATGAAGCCCACTTGATCATGGTGGATAAGCTTTTTGATGTGCTGCTGGATTCGGTTTGCCAGTATTTTATTGAGGATTTTTGCATCAATGTTCATCAAGGATATTGGTCTAAAATTCTCTTTTTTGGTTGTGTCTCTGCCTGGCTTTGGTATCAGGATGATGCTGGCCTCATCAAATGAGTTAGGGAGGATTCCTTCCTTTTCTATTGATTGGAATAGTTTCAGAAGGAATGGTACCAGTTCCTCCTTGTACCTCTGGTAGAATTCAGCTGTGAATCCATCTGGTCCTGGACTCTTTTTGGTTGGTAAGCTATTGATTATTGCCACAATTTCAGATCCTTTTATTGGTCTATTCAGAGATTCAACTTCTTTCTGATTTAATCTTGGGAGAGTGTATGTGTCGAGGAATTTATCCATTTCTTCTAGATTTTCTAGTTTATTTGCGTAGAGGTGTTTGTAGTATTCTCTGATGGTAGTTTGTATTTCTGTGGGATCAGTGGTGATATGCCCTTTATCATTTTTTATTGCATCTATTTGATTCTTCTCTCTTTTTTTCTTTATTAGTCTTGCTAGCGGTCTATCAACTTTGTTGATCCTTTCAAAACACCAGCTCCTGGATTCATTAATTTTTGAAAGGTTTTTTTTGTCTCTATTTCCTGCAATTCTGCTCTGATTTTAGTTATTTCTTGCCTTCTGCTAGCTTTTGAATGTGTTTGCTCTTGCTTTTCTAGTTCTTTTAATTGTGATGTGAGGGTGTCAATTTTGGATCTTTCCTGCTTTCTCTTGTGGGCATTTAGTGCTATAAATTTCCCTCTACACACTGCTTTGAATGTGTCCCAGAGATTCTGGTATGTTGTGTCTTTGTTCTCAGTGGTTTCAAAGAACCTTCTTTATTTCTGCCTTCATTTTGTTATGTACCCAGTAGTCATTCAGGAGCAGGTTGTTCAGTTTCCATGTAGTTGAGTGGTTTTGAGTGAGTTTCTTAATCCTGAGTTCTAGTTTGATTGCACTGTGGTCTGAGAGATAGTTTGTTATAATTTCTGTTCTTTTACTTTTGCTGAGGAGAACTTTACTTCCAACTATGTGGTCAATTTTGGAATAGGTGTGGTGTGGTGCTGAAAAAAATGTATATTCTGTTGATTTGGGGTGGAGAGTTCTGTAGACGTCTATTAGGTCCACTTGGTGCAGAGCTGAGTTCAATTCCTGGGTATCCTTGTTGACTTTCTGTCTCGTTGATCTGTCTAATGTTGACAGTGGGGTGTTAAAGTCTCCCATTATTATTGTGTGGGAGTCTAAGTCTCTTTGTAGGTCACTCAGGACTTGCTTTATGAATCTGGGTGCTCCAGTATTGGATGCACATATATATTAAGGACAGTTAGCTCTTCTTGTTGAATTGATCCATTTACCATTATGTAATGGCCTTCTTTGTCTCTTTTGATCTTTGTTGGTTTAAAGTCTGTTTTATCAGAGACTAGGATTGCAACCCCTGCCTTTTTTTGTTTTCCATTTGCTTGGTAGATCTTCCTCCATCCTTTTATTTTGAGCCTATGTGTGTCTCTGCAGGTGAGATGGGTTTCCTGAATACAGCACACTGATGGGTCTTGACTCTTTATCCAATTTGCCAGTCTGTGTCTTTTAATTGGAGCATTTAGTCCATTTACATTTAAAGTTAATATTGTTATGTGTGAATTTGATCCAGTCATTATGATGTTAGCTGGTTATTTTGCTCGTTAGTTGATGCAGTTTCTTCCTAGTCTTGATGGTCTTTACATTTTGGCAGGATTTTGCAGCGGCTGGTACCGGTTGTTCCTTTCCATGTTTAGTGCTTCCTTCAGGAGCTCTTTTAGGGCAGGCCTGGTCGTGACAAAATCTCTCAGCATTTGCTTGTCTGTAAAGTATTTTATTTCTCCTTCACTTATGAAGCTTAGTTTGGCAGGATATGAAATTCTGGGTTGAAAATTCTTTTCTTTAAGAATGTTGAATATTGGGCCCCACTCTCTTCTGGCTTGTAGAGTTTCTGCCGAGAGATCGCTGTTAGTCTGATGGGCTTCCCTTTGTGGGTAACCCGACCTTTCTCTCTGGCTGCCCTTAACATTTTTTCCTTCATTTCAACTTTGGTGAATCTGACAATTATGTGTCTTGGAGTTGCTCTTCTCGAGGAGTATCTCTGTGGCGTTCTCTGTATTTCCTGAATCTGAATGTTGGCCTGCCTTGCTAGATTGGGGAAGTTCTCCTGGATAATATCCTGCAGAGTGTTTTCCAACTTGGTTCCATTCTCCCAGTCACGTTCAGGTACACCAATCAGACGCAGATTTGGTCTTTTCACATAGTCCCATATTTCTCAGAGGCTTTGTTCATTTCTTTTTATTCTTTTTTCTCTAAACTTCCCTTCTCACTTCATTTCATTCATTTCATCTTCCATCATTGATACTCTTTCTTCCAGTTGATCACAGCAGCTCCTGAGGCTTCTGCATTCTTCACATAGTTCTTGAGCCTTGGCTTTCAGCTCCATCAGCTCCTTTAAGCACTTCTCTGTATTGGTTATTCTAGTTATACATTCGTCTAAATTTTTTTCAAAGTTTTCAACTTCTTCACCTTTTGGTTTGAATTTCCTCCTGTAGCTCGGAGTAGTTTGATCATCTGAAGCCTTCTTCTCTCAACTCGTCAAAGTCATTCTCCATCCAGCTTTGTTCTGTTGCTGGTGAGGAACTGCGTTCTTTTGGAGGAGGAGAGGCGCTCTGCTTTTTAGAGTTTCCAGTTTTTCTGTTCTGTTTTTTCCCCATCTTTGTGGTTTTATCTACTTTTGGTCTTTGATGATGGTGATGTACAGATGGGTTTTTGGTGTGGATGTCCTTTCTGTTTGTTAGTTTTCCTCCTAACAGAGAGGACCCTTAGCTGCAGGTCTGTTGGAGTTTGCTAGAAGTCCACTCCAGACCCTGTTTGCCTGGGTATCAGCAGTGGTGTCTGCAGAACCACAGATTTTCGTGATCTGCGAATGCTGCTGTCTGATCGTTCCTCTGGAAGTTTTGTCTCAGAGGAGTACCCGGCTGTGTGAGGTGTCAGTCTGCCTCTACTGGGGGGTTCCTCCCAGTTAGGCTGCTCGGGGATCAGGGATCAGGGACCCACTTGAGGAGGCAGTCTGCCCATTCTCAGATCTCCAGCTGCATGCTGGGAGAACCACTGCTCTCCTCAAAACTGTCAGACAGGGACATTTAAGTTTGCAGAGGTTACTGCTGTCTTTTTGTTTGTCTGTGCCCTGCCCCCAGAGGTGGAGCCTACAGAGGCAGGCAGGCCTCCTTGAGCTATGGTGGGCTCCACCCAGTTCGAGCTTCCCAGCTGCTTTGTTTACCTAAGCAAGCCTGGGCAATGGCGGGCGCCCCTCCCCCAGCCTCGCTGCCACATTGCAGTTTGATCTCAGACTGCTGTGCTAGCAATCAGTGAGGCTCTGTGGGCGTAGGACCCTCTGAGCCAGGTGCAGGCTATAATCTCCTGGTGCGCTGTTTCCTAAGCCCGTCAGAAAAGCGCAGTATTCGGGTGGGAGTGGCCCGATTTTCCAGGTGCCATCTGTCACCCCTTTCCTTGACCAGGAAAGGGAACTCCCTGATCCCTTGCACTTCCCGAGTGAGGCAATGCCTTGCCCTGCTCTGGCTGGCACACGGTGCACTGCCCCTACTGTCCTGCGCCCACTGTCTGGCACTTCCTAGTGAGATGAACCTGGTACCTCAGATGGAAATGCAGAAATCACCCATCTTCTGCGTCGCTCATGCTGGGAGCTGTAGACCGGAGCTGTACCTATTTGGCCATCTTGGCTCCTCCCCCAGAAAACTCTTCATAAAATAAACCTCTGATAACTCAGCTTCACTTTACATGCTATTAGAACATCATATCAGGTTAAGTTCTTTGGACAATTCCTTTAAGATTTATAATGATTGTATCCCATACACAGTGGTGTAGTTGGATACTTAATCATTGTCACTATACCAATTGAGTAATTTAGGGACAAAGCAGATGAGACTAGAAGTGTGGTAGAGAGGGCTTAATTATGTGGTCTGGTGGACTAAGCTGATTAAATCAACTAAATCATAGTCTCTTCTCCCTTTACATCTGAATACGAAGAAACCAGGCAAAGTTCTTTCCACTCTGAGAGCTGTATCTGCTCTCGATGTGACTGTGGGAACCAGGATGAAGTGATGAATACTGTTGCTTCATCTGCCATCGTAGGAACTGCTTTATTAATTCAGGAAATTAATCGCTCCTCTGGCTTCGACTACAGATTTAATGGTATGTCTTCTAAGTCTTTATACTCAGCTCTGCTCCTTCCCTAAAACTCCAACACTTCCAGCTTTCTGTTGAATTTCTCTACCTAGGTGTCCATCTGCCATTACCTCCAACTCAATCTGTCCAAAACCGAAATCCCACTCTCTGCTTGATTTTATGTAATGGAACTAACGTTCTTTCAATCATTCAAGCTGTAAAACCTGGTGTCATCTTTGACTATTCACCATTCTGATTTCCACATTCAATGAATGACTATGTTCTATAAGCCAGGAACACATTCATCTTTTCAACAACCACTGCCAACACATCAGTTTGGGCTGTTACCTCTTACCTGGACAAAGAGTGCAGCAGGCGGTGTGAGTGACATGGACTTAAGGCTCAGTTAGGGTTCTCCTGCCTCAGGGTAAAAATAAAAATGGTGTGGAGAAATGTGCCACGACCATGTTTTATGTCTTTGCCCCACCACCCACACATTTTAGTTCAGTTTTGCTAAATCATGTCTACCACCTGAGCTATTCCCAGCACCTCCCACTTCTTCTGAGTTCAGTTTCTTCATAATCCATGTCCACACTGCTGCCAGATTCATCTTTGTGAAGAGCTCTGATGACTCAAACCTCTACTCAGGATAGACTCACCCTAGCCAGCAAGGCTATTCAGAAGACAGTCTCTACCGTGGTACAAATATGAGCCACCATGGTCATTATCACAAGGGTGGGCTTCCATGAAATCCAAGGAAAATTTAGCCCTGTTCTCCACATCTTTCCTTCCTGGTAATTCCCGCTACCATTTCCACCTTAGATACTCAGGGACATGTTGTTTCCCTATAGACAAAGGCTTTCTGATACTCTTTCTGTTTTCTGTATCACCAGCCTCTCAGCGCACTTACACATTATTTCCAGATTTTTTTCTTTTTCAAACAGCTCTGAATATGACTGTCCTACTTGAAAACAAAGGTTCCATATGACCTAATTAAGGACAGATTTCCTTTCCAATCTTTCCCTCATTCCTTCGATGTACTCTGCACTTCACCCAAAGTTCCCGCATGTCCTCCTCTCGTCCTGTCGCATGCCACCAGGATTCTCCCACTCACCACCTGTCACAGAAACATGGAACTCTGTCTTCTTAAGGGGTTCTTTTTCCTCACAACAGCACTGGGAGTTAAACTCTATGGCCCTTTTCATGTTTATTTGTCCAGTTGTTAAATCCCTGAGGGCCTCAGTTCCTGCCCATGAGTTTATTCCCAGGGAGAGAAGAAACATTAAAAAGTACTTTTACACCCAACATTTCTAAATGGTCTACTGGTCTACATGGTCTTATTGTCCTCATATGTCATTGAGGAAACAGACAAAGAAATAAGTGATTTGGTGGAATTCAAACCCAGGCATCTAATTTAATAATCAACTTTTTTTCTTTTCTTTTCTTTTCTTTCTTTCTTCCTTCTTCTTCTTTTTTTTTTGTTTTTGTTTTTTGTTGTTGTTGTTGAGACAAGGTCTTGCTCTGTCTCCCAGGTTATGTAGCACAGTGGTGTGATGTTGGCTCACTGCAGCCTCAACATTCTGGAATCAAGCGATCCTCCCTCTTCCGCCTCCCGAGTAGCTGGAACTACAGGTGCATACGACCATGCCTGGCATTTTTTGTATTTTTGGTAAAGATGGGGTTTCACCATATTGCCAAGGCTGTTCTCAAACTTCTGGACTCAAGCAATCCTCCCACCTGGGCCTCCCAAAGTGCTGGGATTACAGGCATAAGCTACTGCACCCGGCCAATAATCAATTACTTTCTTCAATTATCTTACTGTGAGTTGTTTTTTAAATTCCCTTATGCCTTTTTCTAACTTTCCTTTCTAGGTCTAAATTCTTTGAGGTCAAGGGTAATATATTAAATATCAGAGCACCTGCTACAGTGTGTTGGCACAGAGTATTTGAAAAGTGAATGCTTGTTAAATTGAATCATATAGATTTGATTTGAATTTTGGTGACTTTTGATTATATGTCTTCTAAACTAGTCTTGATCTCTTCTGATCTTCTGTTCACTGCATACTTGCCCGAAATGTTTCTTCTAAATATTCTTAACCCTGATGTGAATTAGCTGAATATCTTTCTATAGTTGGTAGTTTGCCTAGCATCTCTGACTAAACTTACTCTTCGCAATTTTTCCTCTAAGTGGGCTGCTTTTTGTTTGCTTAATTACTTTGTGCACTTTGCTGTCCATCAATATCATATTCTATGAAAGCATCGACTAAGTAAATCCTAATATGATATATGGTGTAAATAATAGCACAAAAGCTACTATCACTCATTTCAGATTCTAAGAAACTTCCAGGGCTCTGGATTAGAGCTAAGATTGTCTGTAGAATCAAGCTGTCTCAGCACAAATTTTTAATAGAAACTACACAAGAGACTAATTTGGGTTCAAATGAAATACACATTTTAGATATACATCTAGTAGAATAAGTATTTGTTAACTCATCTCCCGATTTCTAATTGGTTGACCCAGCCTCAGGTGGACTTGGATTTATGATCTCCATAAAATGCATACTAAGTGAAATCTACCTAGTTTCAAAAATATTGTCAGAGATCACGTCATTTTTAAATTCTCTTGAATTGGCCTTACTTTAAGAACGATAATTCATAATGTGAGTGAGGGGTCACTGGACTGGGAGGTTATGTCATTGACTAAATAGAGCCAGAATCTGGGTATTGGAGCCAGAATTTGGCTAAATAGAGCCAGAAAGGCCTTGTGGGAAAGATGCCTGAATTCCAGCTTTGTGTCCCATTCTGCACCAGCTTTTTTTCAAGTTTGTTTTTAAAATGTGATTGGTGTTAACAAATCATCAGCAAACACAATTACAAACAAACATTCTTCCTAAGGGCAAGGAATATTGCAGTATTGTAAGTGTAGGCCAAGTAGTCAACATTTGTGATGAGCAAACTCTGACACTTCGGTGACCAAGTAGGAGGAAAGAGACAGTGTCAGCAGTAGAAGGCCAGAGAGAGAAGCAACTTAAAAGGGAGAATCATTGCTCTATGCCTCAACATTATAATCCCAAACAGAAAGTATTTCTATGGAAATGAATGGGAAATGTGATCAATTACAGAGTGTAGAATTTAGCCTTTGATTTATTTTTCCTTTGATATATAATCATCATTGCCCACAGCAGGTATGAATTTTATTAACTTAATTTGCCATTAGTTCAAGAAATCATACATTTCCCCAAAATAAACTCATTTTAAAAACTGAAAAAACGTTTCAAGCCTTAAAGATGCAAATATGTCATAGTTTGGCTGCATTCAGCAAATTCCTAGAATCAATCAGCCGAGAACAGGGTAATTCTGTTACTGAAAAGGGAACTCAAAGCATGCAAATTGAAACCAGGATAAAGAATAAAATATAAAAGAAGGCTTACAACATCTAAGGAAACACCCTACTTGTATTTTTATATTTTAATAAGGTAAATATATAAACATAAATAACACTTCTATGTAATATAATCCTATTTCTCCTTGATATGACATACGACATCTAAACTACTCCAGAGATAAACTCACTTTATTAAGAAATGCATATTCTAAATCAAGTTAAGTCATAATAATAATAATTTACATGCAATAACATTTTCCATTTTACAAAATGCTTTACACACCTTACCTCATTTGGTGCATGCACACACACACGCCCCTAAAATGTTAGAGGCATAGATATAATTATTTTCATTTCCTAGATAAGGAAATGCAAATATCAAATTAAAGAGGCAGGAAGAGTCTCCTGGAGAACTCAGAGATGCTCTTAGCATAATGTTTCCCCACCACCCTGCGGGAAGCCATAAAGCTCAGCACTGTTAGACAGGAAAACAACTTCTGCAGACTCTCTGGCTTTGTGGGCTCAGTCAGGCCCCACAGCTCTTGCGAGGCATGGTCTTTCTCAACAAAAACTTGGGCCATCTAAATTTTGCAGGAGGCATTCAACGCTTTAACCTATCAGAGAAGCTGAAGACTTTACTAAGTTGGAGGGAGGCACGTGGAAGGAGAGCCGTGGGCTTAGGCTCCATAAAATGAAAATGGGCTGGCGACCTGAGAATGTGCTTCCTTGTTTGAGCATAGTGGCTAATAATTTGGACCCTGGAGTTAGAAAAGCATGAGTTGCAATATCTGCTCTGCTTCCTTCGCTGGTTGAACTTGAATGAATTACATACCTTCTCTGAGCCTGTTTTCACGTATGAAACAGGGCTTATTGGACAAATGGAATGGTATAAGGCATCTAAACATGTCACGATGTTGAACATCCAATGAGGCATCAGACTTCAGTGACTTCTCACATCACTTCCGCAGGTTGAATTCTAGCATTCCTTTACCACATTGACACAATGCTGGAGAAGTTCCTCCAGCCTCCCCCACATCTGCCACCATGGATAAGATCATGGGTAACACGTTGTATACCAAATCTCCCTCAATTTATAAGTGGTGTAGTCGTACAGGAGTATATATGATAGTCTTATCATTACCATCTAAAAGCCCTTTTATGCAAACAAACAGGATTGCAATTAAGGGGGGGATTAAAACAGATTGGGGTATGTGGTGCTTGTCTGAATGTAATCTAACTACTACACTATTCATGTAGTGAGGAGTCTAATTACTAGCTTCATAATTATACTACTCAAGAAAATTGTTTTAGTGATGGTTTTCTTAAACTAACTTGAGAAGATTTTTGCGCCAACATGAGCAGAACAAATGGAATTTAATTTCAAAACAGGGGCAAAGGAAGGTTACCCAGGGGAAGAAAACCTCATGAGCTGGACGGCAGATTTTGAAATTCATGCAGAACAGAGCTCAGCTAGGAAAGGAACAGGCTGGCATCACAACACGAGAGATGTAGGGAGCCATTCAACAACACTTCCAGATTTGGTTTATAAGGAAAGAACTTAACAAGGGAAGCTTCTGGTCTCCAAACCTCTGACTTAAGAGGATCTGCAATGATTCTTACTTGTGTGTTGTACATGAAACCACACTCCAGCTGTGGTCCCCAACCCACAGCATCAACATAAATCTAGAATCTCAGAATTTGCCTCAAACTTAATCAGAGTCTGAATTTTAAATAAGTTCCCAGGTGAGCATGCGCATATTACAGTTTGAGTAGAACTGGTGTAAATGACCAGCTTGTGGTTCCAAATTGAAATTTTATGTTTTTTCTGTTCTTAAATGTAATATATGCTTAATAAAGCAAAAAAGAACATATGCATAGGAGTGTAAGGGGGAAAAGTATACCTGTAATTGCACCACCCTGAGAGGACACCTGCTCCACTGTTGGGTGTCTTCTCTTCCAGGCTGTTGTTACACATATTGTTTTACATTTTAAGCTCAGGCTATAAATACAGCTTTGGGTTTTTCATATCATGTTATAAATATTTTCTATATTCCAACCAAGTTTTGTTGACATTTGTCTGCATTCTACCATATGTATTTGTTCCTTGTTAAAAGTTTACAGTACCTTATTGTTGCTTTTATAATTATAAATAATCCTCTGATGAAGGCATTTATATTTTAACTTTTTTCTATTAATTCATAAGGTTAAATTTCTAGGATATGAAAATAGTTAAATCTCTTGATAGAGATGATCTCTTCTAATTATAATATTCTTTGAAATAAGGTAAAGTTTTAAAAAAGCATTTGGACTCTTTATTTCTCAGGGTCTTTTGGGTGGATGTTAATGTGTTTAATTATTGGGGTTCCTGAGAAAGTCTCTTTCTCCAAGGATGGTCAGTGGCTTGAACTCTGAATCAGTCTGTTTTCTTTTTCTTTTTCTTTTCTTTCTTTCTTTCTTTCTTTCTTTCCTTTTTTTTTTTTTTTTTTTTTTTTTTTTTTTTTTTTTTTTTTTTTTTTTTTTTTTTTTGAGACAGAGTCTTGCTTTGTTGCCCAGGCTGGAGTGCAGTGGTGTAATCTTGGCTCACTGCAACCTCTGTCACCCGCATTCAAGCAATTCTCCTGCCTCAACCTCCTGAGTAGCTGCTGTTACAGGTGCCCACCACTATGCCTGGCTAATTTTTGTGTTTTTAGTAGAGACGGGGTTTCACGATGTTGGCCAGGCTGGTCTCAAACTCCTGACCTCAGGTGATCCACCCGTCTTGGCTTCCCAAAGTGCAGGGGTTACAGGCATGAGCCACCATGCCCGGTCAAGAATCAGTTTATTTTCTAGCACTTTTATACTAGCAGAACAGAGGATACGTACACGCTACTGTTAAGTGAAGAGCTACCACCAACTTTACTTTGTAAATAATCACTCATTTCCTCTCAGGGTGAGTCTGTTACAGCAATGGGATGCCCAGGTTAAGTTTATGGAAAGACATTGACCTTGGAGCCAGACTGCACCAGAGTAAGTTCTGTCTCTGTCCCTGAGGCTGTGTGACATTGCCTGAGCTATTACTTACCTTAGTTCTGCCATAATCATCTTATTTATAATAGTGTGTTAATAATGCCTCTTCCCCAGAATTGATGATTACATGATGTAAGAGATATTAAAGCCTCTAACATGAGGCATAAGGTCTGTCCCTAAAATGTTTCCATACATGGTAGGTGTTGTTTGTTTCTTCTTTCAATGCTGGGTGAGTAGATCCTGTATCTGCCATTCTTACATGGGGAGAAGTGGCAGATTGCTTTAGATGGCAACCAGGATTATCTCTGAAGAGTGTGTCTTTATTTTAGTTTATTTTTCATGATGGAGTCTTGTTCTGTTGCCCAGGCTGGAGTGCAGTAGTGCAATCTCAGCCCACTGTAACCTCCACCACCCAGGTTCAAGCAGTTCTCCTTCCTCAGCTTTCCGAGTAGCTGGGACTACAGGCACTCTCCACCATGCCTGGCTAACTTTTGTATTTTCAGTAGAGACTGGGTTTCACCATATTGGCCAGGCTTGTCTTGAACTCCTGACCTCAGGTGATCCACACGCCTTGGCCTCCCAAAGTGCTGGGATTACAGGCATGAACCACTGTGCCCAGCCGAAGATCATGTCTTTAAATACATGTCGAGCTTCATTTAGAGAAATTACGTTTGGTTTCATTTTTTTCAATTAATACAAAACACTTTTGTTAGCAAGAATGTAGATAACTGGGCCTTGAATTCTGCCCTCAGTTAATGGGATAAGCCTCTTTCAGCCATACCAGAATGGTCAATGTGGAACAGGCAGCAGGGACAGGACCTCTTCTGTGGACTAGTGGCCCCAGGCATGAACAATCTGCATTCTCAGGCATGGATCCTTCCTCTAAACAATGGGAATCACTGCTGTGAATTAAGTTTTCTCTAACTTACAGCTGTGTGCTCTAGATTTAGCCGCATGCTTAAATTTCAAATGTATGTCTCTTATTTACGATTCATTGAGCAGAATATTTTCATATATAAATATGTATAGCTGATAGAGAAGTTCATGACCCATTCAATGAAAAATCAAGTACATTCATAGAGTTAAATGTCAATGGTGAATTTGGGCAGTGGTATGTTAAGTAATTTATTATTGTTATTACTTATGTTTTACATTTTTCTAAAATGAGTACGCCTTACATGTTTAATTAAACAAGGAAAAGGACTTAAATTAATAAAAATAATCCCTTATAGTTAGAATTGTAAAGAGAAACTCTTTTCATTTGTTAGGTTATTCTGCCAATTGTTTATCTTTAGTCAAAGGGCAGACAATTGATTCATTTGAAAAGAAATTTCAGCTCCACTAGTATCTTTTTGCTGTGTTTACCTATGCCAAGCCCCTGTTCAAAGGTTGGTGCCCCGTAGGCTTCCCTGGTGATGTTGACATGCAGGGGAAAGGAACTTAAGTTACAAAAATGATGAAATGATATTCTTGCTAAATTATATCTCAGTTATGCACAGAGGCTGAAGGAAGCCAGCATCACCTGCCAATGACAGGTATCCTTCTGACAAATTAGCACCTGTGCAGTGACAATGAGTCTGGTCCGGGAGTTCCTGCACTTATTCTTCCCACAACTTGCAGGACACCTTAAGACAAGCAGCAGCATCCCAGCCCAGCAATGGAGCTTCTTCAGGAAAGACTGAGCCAGCTCAACAGATTCCTCCTTCAGGCATTTACAGCACATTTGTTTCATCTCATGTGGCATTCATTAGAGGTGGACAACAAAAAAACAAAATGAAGCTGACTTCTGTCAGGAGCTCAGCTGAGTGGGAGAGAGAGCTGAGCTGCCTGTGCTGGAGTTCATTGAATGTAAACCAGAATGAAAGAGGAGGTGAGCCTTGGATCACCCACTGTGATGGCATGAGCAGAGCAGGGTGCTGACCCAGGAAGGCGTCACCTCCCATCATTCTGTTCCTCCCTCCGTGGGATTGGGTCACTCACTGTCATGTCATGAGCAGGAGGCTGACCCGGGAAGGTGTCACCTCCCAACATTCTGTTGTCCATCCTGTGGGATTGGGTCACCCACTGTGATGGCACTTGCAGGAGGGTGACCTGGGAAGGCTTCACCTCCCACCGTTCTGTTCTCCCTCCTGTGGGATTGGGCCACCCACTGTGATGGCACTAGCAGGAGGGTGACCTGGGAAGGTGTCACCTCCCACCGTTCTGTTTCTCCCTCCATGGGATTGGGTCACTCGCTGTCATGGCATGAACAGGAGGCTGACCTGGGAAGGCATCACCTCCCAACTTTCTGTTCCTCCTCGCTGTGAGATTGGGTCACTCACTGCATGGCACGAGCAGGAGGCTGATCCGGGAAGGCATAGCCTCCTAACTTTCTGTTCCTCCCCGCTGTGAGATTGGGTCACTCACTGCATGGCACGAGCAGGAGGCTGATCCAGGAAGGCGTCACCTCCCACCGTTCTGTTCCTCTCCACCGTGGAATGGTGTGCTGGTGGATCTGCACAGACCTTGGGTCATCTCACTTTTGAGGGAGCCCCAGAACAAAAGGCTCTGGCAGTTTAATGGCCCCTGGGGCTGAGGAGAGGAGAAGGAGGGCAGGGGATAAGTCCCTCTGTGGGTCCGCTTTCTCCTTCTGTGAATTATGGATCATATTTTCCACTTCATGTGAAAATATCAAAGCAGTTAACACACGTGCAGTGATTTTTACAAGCGTTCGCGGGAAATCTTCCATGGGCTTTGGCCATCAGCAGTAGTCATCTTAGCAATGCTATAATAATGACGTGCATTTCTTGCCTCCATATTTCCTTTATCTCTTTCTCGTTTTGATGAATAATGACAGGTTCTTGGCTTGTTTATCTTTTTGTTTTTCCCTCTGCCATGTGTGTTCCTACTCCTGCCTACTTACAGGTTTCAGGAAGCTTCCTGGGCTCTGGAAGTTTGCTGATCTGATCACCAGATTTCATTCACTCATGTAGCAAACAGTCAAGGAGACCCAAGTATGTGCCACACTCTCAGATATGCTGGTTCCTTGGCGAAATCACGTTAACTGGTTTGCAAAAGGAGTTTGTGCTGATTTCTCTGTGTTTCTGTGTTTATATGAGCCCAAACACAATAACCTAGTTGTATTATTTCCTGGGTGAATACTTGAATTCTTTTGCTTTTCTTTTTCAAAAGAATACCAATACATTTTTAGCATATATATAGGAGATCGTAAGTCTGGCATAAGTCTTGTCTCTAACAGCCCCCCTTGGATATCTGAGAGAGTAAATGTTTTCAAAGTTATTTTATTTCTGAATGCTATGGTTTTTCTCTCTCACGTCAGTTTCCTTTTTCTTTTTGACTGAAGTCTATTTTTCCCTCAGGCGGCCATTGCCAAGGGATTACATTATGGGTTTACAGTAACCATAACAGAAAGTTTTTCTTCTGTTCACCACCCATCTGCAGAATTGCAGGAAGCCAACTCTCAACTCTGCCCCCTTTGTTCCTGGGGTTTGAGGTGGTGCCTGATGTGCACTCACAAATGCAGATTTCCAGGCCACTGTGTGGGACCCTTCTCTTCTGTCATGTCCAGTGGTGGCTCTTTAGGCCCAATG
Source organism: Homo sapiens (assembly GCF_000001405.40). Taxonomy (NCBI): domain Eukaryota; kingdom Metazoa; phylum Chordata; class Mammalia; order Primates; family Hominidae; genus Homo; species Homo sapiens. The sequence continues at coordinate 6,820,717 of NC_000010.11, forward strand.
CCACTGCCAAGATGTTCCTGGAGCTCTCACGTGGGCCGTTTTGTGTTGTGAATGCGTCTGGAGTCAGGACCACCTACATAATTTTCAGGTCCTGGTACAAAATGAAAATGTAGACATCTTGTTTAGGAAAACTCTTAAGGCCATGGCCAGTTGCAGTGGCTCACACCTGTAATCCCAGAACATTTGGAGGCCGAGGTGGGTGGATCACTTGAGGCAGGAGTTCGAGACCAGCCTGCCCAACATGGTGAAACACTATCTCTACTAAAAATACAAATATTAGCCGGGTGTGATGGTGGGTGCCTGTAATCCCAGCTACTCAGGAGGCTGAGGCAGGAGAATCATTTGAACCCAGGAGGCAGAGGCTGCAGTGGTCCGAGATCACCCCTCTGCACTCCAGTCTGGGAGACAGAGCAAGATTCTATTTCAAAGAAAAAAAAAAAAAAGAAAACTACTAAGGCCAGAAGTCTTGGCTCACCCCTGTAATCTCAGTGATTTGGGAGGCCAAGGTGAAAAGAGAGTTTGAGTCTCAGCTGGAGACCAGCCTGGGTAACTTAGTGAGAACCTGTTTCTAGATAAAACTTAAAAAATTAGCTGGGCATGGTGGCAGACACCAGATACTCAAGGGGCTTAGGTGGGAGGAATTCAAGGCTGCAGTGAGGTATGACAGCATTGCACTCCAGCCTGGGCAAGAGAGTAAGACCCTGTCTGCGGGGGGGAAAAACCTATTAAGAATTTCAAGATGGCAACAGCAGAGTGTTAAACCAAGTGTGAGTCCCTCCTGCACACACTGCATTCATCGTACACCGTGAAGCTGGCCCTCTCCCTGTCCCAGTTCATTCTCATTCTTGAGTTTGGGCTACATTGCTCTCTGGACCATGGGCGGGATGTCCTCGGTCTCCTCCCTTGACGTGGATGGTCACTGCACTGAAGTACAAAGGAAGGCATTCTACCCCTATTTGCACTGAATGCTAATGCCAGGCCACAAAGCCGTGTTGCCTCGTGCCTTTGATTCCTTACAGTTTCACATCTTGGAACCGGCCACCACCTGAGCTTGTTTCCTCTCATTTTAGGTTATGTCTCTGGGAGGAAAGCAAAGGACGTTATGGAAGAAACAGGACACAGAAATATTATTATTCATCAAATAGAGTCTGTTTGGAAAATCTGGTATTCCCAGCACAATGTCAGGAGATATCCTAATCACAAAACAAAGTAGAAGACACAATCCGTGCTGACCTGGATCTCATAAGAATCTTTAGGTGAAGTAGACACCCAGTAAAGCAAACACAAGGAGGAATGCAATCCATTGTTAGTTTTTGTAGTATGGAATATAAGATTAAGAAAATTTCTAGAAGATAAAAAATTATGTGCTGGGGGGGGCAGTGGGGAGAGTCATGAAGCTATTACAAAAGAGAGAGGGTTTGAAGTGAGTCTGAAAGAATGTATAAACACTAGGTTGCCAGTAGAGAAATTATAGCTAACAATAACTTATTGCGTATTCCAGAGTAGCTAGGAGAGAAGATTTGTAATGATCCCAACACACACACAAAATATACATGTTTGAGGTGATTGATAACTCAATTACCCTGAGTGGAACATGACACATTGTATATAGGTATCAAAAGATCACCTGTACCCCAAAAATATGTATAACTATTATATGTCATTAAAATAAATAAATAATTTTTGAGAGAAAACAAAATTAGATTGTAAAAATGAAAGGAAGGTGTGATTATAATCAACCTGGAAAGTCAGTTTTAGCTCCCAAGGAGCATGGGGCTGTGGATCTAGTTGTAAGGGCTGTTGCTGCTGAATAGACAGAGGTAGAGATGGAGTTGAGGTGGGGCAGGAGAGGTCCTGGCTGCCTGAGAAGACTGTGCTGGGAGCCACATCACAGCAGGTCTTGAGTTCCAGGCGCTTAACCCCTTCTTTTGTAGGAACCCTTGTAGGTGGTAACAGCGACATGGTGATGGAAGGGTAAATTTGGTCATGGTTTGGAGGAAAGAAAAACCTGAATCAGGAAAGCCAATACAACGGTATTATAGGTGACCCGCGAGAACATTGTTAGGGTGAGAATGACAAGTTTAGGCATTAAAAATGCCAATGAGACGGGGTGCGGTGGCTCACTCCTGTAATCCCAGCACTTTGGGAGGCCAAGGTGGGCAGATCACGAGGTCAGGAGTTCAAGACCAGCCTGGCCAACATAGTGAAACCCCATCTCTACTAAAAATACAAGTATTAGTTGGGGCGGGTGTCTGTAATCCCAGTTATTCAGGAGGCTGAGGCAGGAGAATCGCTTGAACCCAAGAGGCAGAGGTTGCAGTGAGCCAAGATTGCACCATTGCACTCCAGCCTGGGCAACAAGAGCAAAACTCTGTCTCAGGAAAAAAAAAAAATTGCCATTGAGGCCTGGTGTGGTGGTTCACATCTGTAATCCCAACACTTTAGGAGGCTGAGGTGAGAGGATGGCCAGGAGTTCAAGACCAGCCTTCATTTTTATTTAACTAGTGTATTCTCATTTTACTAGTATATTAATTGTTTTTCAGGACAGACTATATTTCTTAATGTACCTGTTGTACTTTCTGTACAACTGTGTTATTCTACTCAACGTCAGAAGATGTGAATTTTTTTCACAGGGAAAAATAGCCATGGGAAGTAATATCTTTATATCTGTAGAACTTGTCTCCTGCCTCTGCTATTAGCTTATTCTATTGTTTGTTCATGTGTCTCTCTATACCATTAGATAATGAACTCCTTGGAGACATCAAGAATGAGATTTTATTCACCTCTGTGTTCTCAGAAGACTGCACAGTGCCTGCCCATAAGAGCGCTCAAATATTGTTGGAATAAGTTAACAAAAGAATAAGCACTACCAAGAACTGTCTTTAAGAAAACACACACCATATTTGTGTGACTGCAAAAGCAATCAGAAAAATTGGTAGGATAATTTCAAATTCCCCTCTTGAAGCAAAATCACACTTATAAGAAATGAAATCAATGTTTGGTTCACCTGTTTTAAACAATTAAAAGGTACCAAACACAAATATAAAATAAAAATTAAATTTGTAAAGCCAAAGTATGTGTGTAAAGATAAATATCCACATGTACATGTCAACAATTTAAAATTTTTTATGTGTTTGGAAGGCTTTTTAAAAATCAGACCTAGAAAGAGGGCCAACTTAAAGGTATTTTTGAGAGTTTACTTTTGGTGTGACTCAGACAGTGTAGTATAGATGCAAGAGCTTGAGTTGGAGTGAGGAAATCAGTTCTTACTATTGTTGACTTGTTCTCTGACCTTATATATGTGCAGCATAATTCAATCATATTTTCAAATATTTATTCAAAACATTGCCCAAAGCATGTGTTCGATGATTCATTTAATCTTCTAGCATCTCAGTTTTCTAATCTTTGCAAAGGGAATAATAATACCTTTCTAACTCATCCCAAAAAACCATTTTGGAATGATGAAGGGGTGGGTTGCCCCTCCACACCTGTGGGTGTTTCTCATTAGGTGGAATGACAGACTTGGAAAAGAAAAAAGACACAGAGACAAAGTATAGAGAAAGAAATAAGGGGGCCCAGGGGACCAGCATTCAGCATACGGAGGATCCCACCAGCCTCTGAGTTCCCTTAGTATTTATTGATCATTCTTGGGTGTTTCTCAGAGAGGGGGATGTGGCAGGGTCATAGGATAATAATGGAGAGAAGGTCAGCAGATAAACACGTGAACAAAGGTCTCTGCATCATAGACAAGGTAAAGAATTAAGTGCTGTGCTTTAGATATGCATACACATAAACATCTCAATGCCTTACAGAGCAGTATTGTTGCCCACATGTCCCACCTCCAGCCCTAAGGCGGTTTTCCCCTATCTCAGTAGATGGAACATACAATCGGGTTTTATACCGAGACATTCCATTGCCCAGGGATGGGCAGGAGACAGATGCCTTCCTCTTGTCTCAACTGCAAAGAGGCATGCCTTCCTCTTATACTAATCCTCCTCAGCACAGACCCTTTATGGGTGTTGGGCTGGGGGACGGTCAGGTCTTTCCCTTCCCACGAGGCCATATTTCAGACTATCACATGGGGAGAAACCTTGGACAATACCTGGCTTTCCTAGGCAGAGGTCCCTGTGGCCTTCCGCAGTGTTTGTGTCCCTGGGTAGTTGAGATTAGGGCGTGGTGATGACTCTAAAGGAGCATGCTGCCTTCAAGCATCTGTTTAACAAAGCACATCCTGCACAGCCCTTAATCCATTTAACCCTGAGTTGACACAGCATGTGTTTCAGAGAGCACGGGGTTGGGGTAAGGTTACAGATTAACAGCATCTCAAAGCAGAAGAATTTTTCTTAATACAGAACAAAATGGAGTCTCCTGTGTCTACTTCTTTCTATGCAGACACAGTAACAATCTGATCTGTCTTTCTTTTCCCCACATTTCCCCCTTTTCTTTTCGACAAAACAGCCATCGTCATCATGGCCCGTTCTCAATGGTCACTGTCTCTTCAGAGCTGTTGGGTACACCTGCAGACTAACAACAGACAAAACAGGCACACAAGGATTAATATGAAATTTATAATCATAGTACTTCCGATGGTCTTAACCCAAGTGACAGGGTTAAGATTTGCGAGGCCATCAGCAACTCCTGCGATTGCCTCAGTTCCTGGCACCAAATTTAAATGGGCTTTTGATGTTTCAAAAATTTGTTCTTTTAATTTGGAAATGTCTAAAGTGAGATTATCTTCTCTTCCCTGTAGATGGCGTCTAACCATGTCCCAGTGATGCTCAGACTCATTATAAACTTGGGGTGTAATACAAAAATCTGACGTATTCCAGTCACACTGTAACTGGAAACGATGTTCTAAGCTCATGAGCCTGTCTCCCATCCAAATGACAGCTTGTCTAAGAACATTAATTTGATTTGCCATTTTTTGATCAATACCAGATTGCGAATTCCACAATCTCGTAGAATTCTTTTGCCAATCATTAACAAAGTTTACTGACTGAACAGAAGAGTGCAACGCAACTCCTGCTATAGCAGCCATAGCTGTGACTGCAATTAATCCCATAATCACTGTAATTAAAGTAAAAATGAATCTTTTGGATCTATTTAAAATGCCTTTTAATACTTCAGTCAAAACATGGACGGATGGCGAGGCCTCCCACGGTTGGTCCATGGACACAGGGATCCGCATGCCTTCTCTTGCTCTCACCAGCAGAATACGGTGCTGCCAAATAAAAGTTGAATCAATGCAAGTAAACAATCTGCAATTTTCACAGGTTATAGTTTGGGAGTCTGGTTTAATAACTATATTTCCTACAACTAGCATATAAGGGGTCTTTACGCAACTTTGTAAAGGAACCGTTAGACTGGAATTTAGGTCGATAGTATAAAATGGCTTACAATCCCTTGTTTCTAAAGTTTGATTTCCAGACCAAATTCTAATGTGGTATGAGGCTAAGTAAGCCTCCATAATTCTCAATGTTCAGGACCAGAAACAGGACTTCTTATTTTTGGTCTTGGGGTAGAGATTCCTTTTTCTCCCCATTCCCAAGGATAGAAAGACTATAATTTTTTATGCTTATGTTTGTCTAAACTTTCTGTTAAGTCGCTATCAACAGCTGGACTCACTTGTGCACTGGGACACGACTGAGTTTGCCCTGTGCAATCATGGTAGAATTGACCCAAGGTGCCCAATCTATAATAGTTCCAAATTCATTGTTTTGTAATATCACCGCACTATTGGCCACACATTCTTCCCAAACTAAAACTTCTGTATTTTTTGATCCTTTGGGAATTTCCTTGGGGCAAGGTTTCCCTTTAGGTCTAAACTTTAATGATCTTTGATAAGAAAAGTCTTGTAAATAATTTACCCGTGGCCTGAGTGACATCCCACTTACCATGTAAGAAATGATTCTACTGATGGGACTGACAGTAGGTCCTTCTACCAACCAATTTTGGACTGCAGGCATTAAGCATCCTGGTGCTCTCCCTAGGCAAATAGGAGGATAACGATACCCAGTGGAAATATTTATCATCATCACTTCTTCCTCAGGTTTGGCAGGGCAGCGATCATCTGTGGGGCCAGGTACGCATACACTCTCATTAACATATACTTCTATAGGATTATCCATCCATGTGACTGCCCAAATTAAGGGCGGGAAAGGCACATATGCCCAGTAGGTATAATTAGCTGCAGCTGCTCCTGCAGGCATAGGGAGACTTACCACCGTTGATACAATCATCAATGCTGCAAGCAGCATACTCTCTGGAGTTTGTGTCATCTTTGTGTTCTCTAGACATTTTGTAGCTAACTGCGTCAGCTTGTTTAGTTGTGCCCAAGTCAGCGGCTCTGCCTTATTGGTGGATGGCAACTTCATCTGTTCTTCTGACATCATCATTTTGTTCATCTTGTGACTCGACGGTGCTCGATTGCGGTGTCTCCGTCTCCGCGGAGGTGCTTTTCTTTGCATCTCCGATGGGTTCATTGTAGAACTTCAAATGTCTAGTGGGTATCCAAACAGGAAGCTGATTTTCTCCTGGTGAAACACAAGCAAAACCTCTTCCCCACGTTATCACCTTCCCTATTTCCCATGTCTTATTTTTATTATCTTTCCACCAAATCAATTTTCCTTCATGTGGGCTGTTCTTTTTACCAGTAAGATGTTGTTCTGCAGAAGTAGTAGTCTGATTTCTATAAATGTTTAAAAAATTTAAAGTATAGAGTGCTAGATTAAGTTGCATCTGAGGAGTGGTACACTCTTTACTGTCTCCCCCTTCTTTTTGTTTAACTAATTGAGTTTTGAGTGTTCTATTAGTTCTTTCAACTATGGCCTGTCCTTGGGAATTATAGGGAATTCCTGTTGTATGTGAAATTTTCCACCGATTTAAGAATCTTTGGAAAGCTTTACTACAATATCCTGGCCCATTGTCAGTTTTGATTTTTTCTGGAACTCCCATTACAGCAAAACAAGATAATAAATGTTTTTTAACATGGGAAGTACTTTCTCCTGTTTCGCAAGCTGCCCATATGAAATGTGAATAAGTATCAACTGTTACATGAACATATGACAATCTTCCAAATGAAGGTACATGCGTGACATCCATTTGCCATAATGCATTAGGACGCAGACCTCTGGGATTAACTCCTGCCTCTTGAGTGGGCAGGTGTAAGACTTGACACTGGGTGCAATGTTGTACAATATCTTTTGCCTGTTTCCATGTGACATCAAATTTGTTTTTTAATCCTGCTGCATTTACATGAGTCAAAGCATGAAGTTCTCATGCTTTTATGAATGCAGATGATACCAGTAAGTCAGCTTGTTCATTTGCTTTAGTCAAAGGCCCTGGTAAATTAGTGTGTGCTCGAATATGAGTAATATAAAATGGGAAATTTCTTTTTCTTACAGTTTGTTGTAATAAATTGAATAGCTGGTTTAACTGATCATCCATGCTATATTTGATTAGAGCT